>NC_000007.14:113112839-113415869 GCF_000001405.40 Homo sapiens
TTCTCATCTACCTAGGAGGTGGAGTGGAGAAATACTATTATTACATCCAATTAACAGACAGGAGATAGCAATTTAAGAGAAAATAAGTGACTTGCCCATTATGACATTTTAATTCTTGGAGAGACGTCTGTTAAATTCCACAGCTTGGACCCTTAGCCTCTATTATAGTACCACTGAAGAGACTGTTATGAGAGTCGCTGGCTGGGAGATGGGTCATATGCAGAAAATTCTCCTCCATTCATTATGTGCTGCAGGCTATATAGCTGCATTACCATTCCTATATCCAAGGTTGGAAATGGCATTTGATAAGCTGGTACAGAGCTAGAAAGCCCAGCAGGACACAGGTGCATGTGAGGTGTAGCTTCTGAGATTTCCTGGACCTGGCTAGTTGGCACAATTGGTATCACATCAGTTTTTCAAGAAGCTCCCACTTGCAGTCTCAATGCTGAGACAAAATATGAATACAGCCCATTTTCTCAAACTTCATCTACGTCCCTGCATTTCTTGATGGTTAGTCTCACTCCCTAGTTGAGACTGTTGGGTTAAGGTAGGAATAAACAATATGCTGGATGGGTGAAGAGGGGAAGGTGGATGTGGGAGATGACGGGACAAAAGTCTGTGAGTAAAATACCTTGAAGTAATCACTTTCCTGGTGTTTTATCTCTCCATCTCTGGAGTAGCTCAGAAAATTCCCTCTTTAAATATGCACCAAGACTTATACTTCTAGAAAGATGGAGTAGACATCTTTTTTCCTTTTCCTCCCACTAAATATAGCTAAAAACCCTGGACATTATGTATAAAACAAACATAGGATTCTGAAAGGCAGAAAGAAGGCACAACAGCTGGGTACCTCAAGAGCAAAGGAACAACAAAGTGGTGAGTTAGCTGGTTTTTTTTTTTTTTCTTCCTGTTTCAGATTGAGAACTGGAGAAGTTGGTAGCACAGAAAGGCCAACGGGCTTAGACCGAAAAAAAAAAAGGGTGGGGGGGTGGGAAACCAAACAAGACTATTCTCTCTAGTATTTAAAGGTATAGGAAAGGTGTAGCTTAGTGAAACAGAAAACTTTTAGAATTGTAGCCCCACTTCCACCATCAGCAAAGGTTGAGTGGAGTGCCAAGACCTCCACTTTCACCAGGCTGTAGATGTTCCAGGCTCCCCACTGAGGTATCACAGAAGGCTGGGTGGGGAGCTGGCACTTTCATCCTCACCAGTTGATAGTAAGAACCTCCCTCTTCTACGCTGGTACCCATGAAGACCATGTGGGTAGCCTGGACTCCACTCCCACCTGGTGGTAACAAGGCAACCTATCACCAGTGTCAGTGGAGGGTATAGGAGGAGCAGTCATGAGGCTTCCACCTGCATCTGGCAGGAAGGAGGAGGCATCCTCCCTTTCTACGAAGGAGTGGTGTCAGAGGAATGTTAAAATACAAAATTTAAATAAGAGCCACAGCCTTTTAAATATAATACCCAGAATGTCCAAATGTCAATAGAAAAATCATCATCATACTAAGAACTGGGAAGATCTCAACTTGAATGAGAAGACAATCAACAGATGCTAAACACCGAGGTGACAGAGATGTTAGGATTATTAAGGATTTAAGCAGCCATGAAAAGGTGCTTCAGTGACAATCACAAACATGCTTGAGACAAATGAAAAAACAGGTCTCCACAAAGAAACACAAGACACAAAGAACAAAATGGAAAGTTTTGAACAAAAAATACAACAGCAGAAACGGTGAACTTAAGCATACAATACTAGAAATTACCCAATCTGAATAAGAGAAAAAAAGGACTGAAAAAATAAATAGAGCCTTAGGTATGCATCAGACTATAACAAAAATATCTAATATTGGGTCCCTGGAGTCCTAGAAGAAAAGGAGAATGAAAGTGGAGCGAAATTTTTGTAAAAAGAAAGAATGGCTGAAAATTTCCTGAATTTGGGAAAAAAGAATAAAACTGTAAGTCTCAGATACCGAGTGAACCCCAAACAGGATAAACCCAAAGATATATCCATGCCGAGATATATCACAAACTTCTAAAAATTAATGACAAAGAAGAGTTATGAAAGCAGTTAAGAGAGAAATGATGCAGGAAATGTACTGATTTTTAGCATTAGAGAACTAAGCTGGTTACATTAAAACTACAGAGAACAGAAATATAAGTATTTGCAAGGACCTTAAATTCTTCACTTGATCTCAACTATTTTTAACTCAACTCAGTGAGCTAACATGCACAAGGCATTTACTAGATATCTACAAATTGTGCTGGGCATCAGAATATTTGCTAATGCCATTCTTGCTGTAACTGCTCCACAGCAGGTGTTATCCCTCATAGAAAATCAAGGAATTTTAGAATTGGAAAGATCCTGGATGGGCTTCAGCTCTGAAACTAATCTAAAAATGTCAGCATGCATGGGAATTTTCCTAAAGAAAAAGATGATAGCTTTCATCAGATTCTCAAAGGAACTGGTGGCCTAAAAATGTTAAGAGCCACCATAAGGGTTCTGTTCTTTTCAGGCAAAGCCATATAATCCAACCTAAATAGATGAGAAATGAGGCTATTTTTAGAGGAGGTGTTCCCCCATCATATCCATCAAAATTCCTGCATGCCACCTCAAGACAATTCTCTACTTTTAAGGGGAAAATAGGGAAATGGCAGTTTTCTAATTCTTTCTAGGCACTTTTGGAAATACACGTTGACCAAAGAATGTTTGCCTATAGTCTTATTTTGAACATTTTAAAAACAGTACCTGGAGGTGACTAAGTGACTACTGCACTGTGATTTAAAATGTACTTTAGGTTTGATTTCTCCCATCCCAATGGAAAAGTTGACATGCAAGGAAGCCGCAGCAGCCTTTCTACATCAGCACCCAATGGGCTGGAGTATAAGAGATGACAATTGTTCTATAACTTGCATCATTCCTTTTTCCTTCTTTAAAACACACAAAAAAATGCAGGTACAATCAAGCTATATTAATTATGAAATGTTTAACTGCCAATTAATTTGAATAAAGACTGTTAGTGCTTCCTCTAGCAAAAAATCGAAACAGCTGTGACAAAAACAAGTGCATTCAGTTTCCATGTCTTTATTCTGTGATGCTTCTTCACTCCTTGTACACTTTAACCAAAACTTTCATGCAAGCCAAGTCAGCTCACTCTAGAATTACACCATAAACAGGACTTTAGGTTGCTAGTGCCTGTTTTTGGATAAAAAATGAGGCTCCCAATGTCATCTGGAGAGCTACAGATTGGAAAATGCATTTTAGGAAAAAATTTCACTACTTACCTCCAGTGTGACCCTAAAGTTTGATTTCCTTAGACTACTTTATGCTGGCTACAACTTGAGAATCAAATGAATCACTGAGGACCCTTGTTAGACATGGAGTTCCAGGCCCCATCTCACAGCTATACAACCAGGAGAAAGACCAGGGAATCAAAAAGTCTTATCAAGTGCCTGGAATGATTCTTGGGCTCAAGCAAGTTGGCAGTCTTCTTAAATTTGTAATGTGCATACAAATTAACTTGGGCTTTGGAAACGAATGCTGTTCCTGATCCAATTGGTCTGGGTGGGGCCTGAGATTCTGCATTTCTAACAAGCCCCAGGTGATGTTGCTGGCTTGAAGACACTTTAAGTAGCTAGGCCAGAGAGGATATTTCGTTTGGCTGGCGTACAAATCAGTTTAAGCCATTTCATTTTCCTTCTATATTTCTAGATTTTCTATCAGGGGCTTCTCTGACCTTAATGCTGCCCAGTTCTCATTATGTCTCTTCAAGCTACCGCAATCAGTTAACACAAGGCATCCTGCCCTTCTCCACTTAGCTCATATAAAAATCCACAATGGATACAAACAGCCCCAAATAAGAAATGGACACGAAACATTAACTTATAACATAATGGGTTTATATTTAATATAGTACTTCTCATCAGGAGGATGTTACTCAGTTAATATAAAGTTTTTTTTCAAAACATTAAATCTCTTTTCCATGTCAATGTCTATAGTTTTTTTTTAACATTAAATTTTTTTCCGCATTTCAGTATTAGATACACTGAATACATTTTTCTAAATGTTTTTTCCCTAGAGATAAAAGTTTTCCTTTTTGCCTGACTCTCTGATATCTAAATATAATATTAACTTGGGAGACAACAAAACAAAAATCTAATTTAAAAGACTCCTCAACGATTCAGGAGGCAGTGATTATAACCGAACAGTGGTGATTTCCTAAGATTCTGGGCAAGAACTTCCTTCTTCCTATTTCACATGCTTTGAGAGAATTCTAAGATTATGAAATATTACTTATGTAAATTTCAGCCATCTTACTTCTTTGACTACCTAACTAGCAAATTATAGGCTGCATTTTTCTGTGCATTATTTGTTGTAAAGAAAACATTTTTTTTTCAATTTATAAATGTATGTTTGTTGCCATTTCATGGAAACAATGAAAAATGTGAAACTCCCTTATTTACTGATTCTTGGAACCTTTCACACACCAAATCTCAGGTTTAGCCTCTAAAGCGCAAAGGTTTTCAGGGTGAGGTTTGACTCAGTAGGCCTTTCAAAGTCACATCTGTCCATTTCTTTTTCGTGCATATACCCCCAAGCAGGCACAAATGCCTGTAATGCTGAGAACCACACCTAACAAAAGGGCGATTGCATCACCGGCTTCTACTGCTTCCACAACAGGCAGCACCAAAAGCAGTGACATGAGGACTAAGGACAACTGTGTTGAAACTGAGGTCATGATGTTGGAATCTTGAGGGCTGAAGGTTCCTAGAAATTAAACATGGAAACAAAAAGGAACCATTAAAAATTCCTCCCTTTTCAAATGACAAAATGAACACATGACAAATAACAGGCCAGCCAATCTTTTGGATACTTTATGAATCATTTCCAATCCATCTCCTCATCTTATAGGTGGAAAAACAGAGGGACGTTAAAGACAGTAATTTGAGGTTCATCTCCCTATCTCGTGATAACACTCTAAACCCAGGAATTTTCCACGATAATGCCAACACCTCGTGCATCAACCAAACAAAAATTGAACAGGAGTTCATAATTAAGAACAAACAGAAAAAAAGCACGAGCCACTAACTTGGAAACTTAAAATATCCTAGTGGGTAAAAATTGTACATTTTCTTAGGGTCTCTCCCATCCAAGAAATGCAGACAAATTTGGCAAAAGTCACACAACATATAACTCTGCGAAGTTGTGGGGAATTAATAAGACTTACCAAAGAAATGGTATATATAGAATTCTATCTGACTTGAAATTTTCCCTTCCTGGAGCTCCGGATGCTGAGATTAAGAGGTTCCACGTGACACGACCTATTATTAGCATGGGGGGTGGGGAGGGGGCGGAGAGAAGGATTTAAAAATTAATTATTATTACTATTATTATTTTAAAGAGGCAGCTAGAGTCAGTGCAGAGCGTGGAGGCCATATGGACGGTAGGGGGATAGGTAATGAGTTGAGAAAAGTCTGTCCAACAGGGAACTAGACTTAAAAGTTGGTCAGTTCACCCACACAAGAAAAGGTAAAAAGAAACAGAACAGAGATAATTTCATTTCAGGACTTGATATTAAGATTTGAAAAAGAATTCGTACTTTGGCCCGGCAAGGTCCAAATTTGCTCCTGTTTTACAAATACACTGGTGCAACCTAAGTATCCTTTGGAGACGAGTTCGTACATTACCTTCTAGGAAGCAGCCATTACAGGAATGGCGAGGAGGGCGGAGTCTCCAAACTACATTTCCCACAATCCCTGCCGCCGCCGACTCCTATGATGCCCCGGCGCGTTCCCCCTATAAGTAGCAGAGGGCGTGACGGTCACGCTCTAGCGGAGGCGAAGAGTCGCGAACGCGCGGGACTTCCTTTCCCTGCCCAACGTTTTACTATTAAATAGATGGTTTCGTGTGTTTATATAAAAGCTCACTTCAAAATAAAAGAAATGATAGCAAGTGTTTTCTACCCTGTTGAGTCTGTAAGGCGCACATGTAATTTTGTCTTTTTCTTCGACTGAAATGACACAGCGGGGAGAGAGAACCCAAGTACAGCCCTCTGTTCCGGGTGCTTTTAAACCAGTGGCTTCCAACGTTTCTGAAGCAGGAAATCTCTGTCACCATCTTCCTAATGAAACATATGCCATTTATTAATTTTTTAGTCAATGGGGAAAAAGCGCGGTTAATAAGACATATCGTAAAAGGTTAAAAAACATTTGTAGTGCAAAATAAAGTTTAGGAAAAATGGGTTTAGCCCTGTTGCAGAAGATCTCTCAGGATTCAGGTCCTAAAGTGACAATCTATTCAGGAGTGCACTGCGGTGATTCCTTCCCACCTATGTTTTTGTGAAACCTCAGCCCCAAATGTCCCTACATATTTGTGAAAAGATGTAAAAATACTGCTTTTAAATCATAAAACAAGAATTAGTTATTTGTATATGTAAGTCGTAACCTTTCTGAAAGGCGCTCTTTCAATTGTCTGCTAATTGTGAACTCCTTACTGAACCTTTCTAGTCATCTGATCTTCTGAACTCTTTCATATTTACTGATTTGAAAATTTATTTGCTATCCTTACATTATAAATTATTAATGATGAGGGTTGGGTGTGAAGCCACCTGCCTGGTCTGAAAGTCCCCTGGTTCAGTCTGTTAGATAATGCAGGTACGTTCAGTTCAATGCCAATAATTAGCATGTATTCTTGTGTTGTCGGTTACCCTTTTTCTTACACGTTCCTAGTCTCTCTAGCAAAGATTTATATTCTTGGCTCCTAACCGGCACCCAGCAGGTGCTCAGTAATGTTGCCTAATAATAATAATGATTTGACTAGATAAATATGCCAACAAGATCTTATGAGAGACCGAGAGGTGCCAAATAAACCAAACCAAGGTGACTAGAAAATTGGAAATCTGAGAATAACTGCACAATAACGTCAGCATTGTTTCTCTAACCTTGATTATTTTAACAAGGTTTTGTTCATTTCATCCTTTGTTTTGAGCTACTTTCGTGCCTTTGTAATCAATTATATTTGGAATAGGAGTTATATTTTTATAGCTTCCAAAATATTCTCTCATATCCTACTGTGAACATTTTGTTTTTCCCTACATGTTTATTTTTCCTTATGTGTTTATTTTAGTTAGCTGAAGTCAGCAGAGACTACTTTAAAGTTAGTATTGTTACAGACTTGTTTCTAGGCACGTCAACATTAAAGATAATGGTTTGGTTTTAAGTTTAAAGAGTCTGTAAGTGGCAAGAAACTTTCTCTTTAAATTATGATGGTTTTTATTAGTTTGTGAAATATATATTATATTGGGAAATGTCGATCTCGGGGGCGGGGTTCCAGTAATAGCTGATGTAGTTGCAAGGATTAATTTCTGGAGTACCATGAATATGATAATCTCCTTCACTGCTTTGACCTGCTCCTACTGTGTGATTTTTAACATGCCTTCACTCTATCTCAGTGAACTGTTATTTCCTAGCTGTAAACCAGGTTAGATATTTTGGCTAGATTGCTGACCAGGATAATAACTGCCATGTTGTACATGTTTGGTCTCTCTTCTAAAAAAGGCGATGATAGATGAGAAGCTGCTTCTGTGTCCGTCATCTGCCAACTACAAGTTCTGCCTGTGAACATCTCTGGTAGCAATGTGAACCACCAATTTTCTGAAGCAATGCTACACTCCCATTTTTCCCAAGCTGTATGAATGTTTCTACAGGCTTCTATGTAGTTGTTCTTTTGACACTAAGTGTCTAGGGTTATAGAATCCATAATTTAGTCTTTCGATTCAAACAAATCTGCACCTACACCATCCTTTACTGAAATAGAGATCAATGGCACCAATGATACTTAAAGCACTTTACTTTAGTTACTTACCTGAGCAGTGGAGAGCAAAATTTTCCATCAGTTGTTACCCAGAAATGGTTTCAGGAAAAAAAAAAAAAAAAAAAAGGAAGTGGCTTCTGCTCATTTTTCTGTTAGAAGTGAGTCATTGGTAGGCCCTGAAGGAAGGCACCTCTGGGATCCATCAGAGGATGCAGGACAGGCCAATATCAGGATTTTGCAGTGACTGGTGTGTGTCAGGGAATTTATAAAACCCAGACTTCCTCATTAGCAATTGAGCCAAGCCAAGTGAGTCGAAACATTTTACTGGAGCTTCACAATTAAAAAAGACCAACCCAGACCTAGTCAGTATTTCCCATCATTAATAGGACTAATCACTGAGAATGTTAGAACTAACTACTCATTAGGTCAAAAGGATGGGAGAAGCTACACTTTCCAGAGCTGTTCAACTACTGCAGAAAACGTCTCCTGAGGCTAAGTACCTCTTGTACCAGCATTTACAGAAGTGTATGGGAGAGGTGCAAAAGGTCATTTTGGGCAAAGTTCCAGGCACCACCTAGAGCCCATTATGTATGTGGTCCTTACTCCCACTGGTGATCGTCATTTGTCTGTGGGAATCAATCACACACGGAAGCTTGTGGAGGATGGGGAAGTAGAGAAACCCCACTCATAGGCATGACAGATTCCACTTTTATTTATATTGCTGATCTTCTTGGAGTAGGTTAAAAATTACTGGATATGACAAAGTTCTAGTTTTGAAAAGTTGTGACATTATCTATATAGCACTTTATCCGTGGTAATGGACTGATTAAGACAGGGTTTGGAGATCATCAGAGGTTGATTCCAAATTTACCTCTGCCACTTTCTAACTCTGTAAACCTGTGCGAATTATCTAACTTCCTGAAACTTGAGTTTTCTCATCTGTAATAAGGGGATCACCAATCTTCATAGGGTTGTTAATGCAGATTGAATGAGGTGACATGTAAAGTGGCTCAGTGTGGTCAGTGTAAGTGACACTATTATTGGCAACAGACGACCTTTCAGAGATGGAAGTAGCTGATCAAATAATATTTATTAAGTGCTACACAAGGAAATTTAAAATCAGAATTAGCTTACATCATGAGAGATGAACAAACATTTATTATGGAAAAAAAGATTTTCTTAGAAAACATGGTTTCATGCTGCATAGGGTCAGATTGATTGATTGACATTTATATTTAACAAACACTTAAAATAGTGACTAATATGCACCAGTAACTATTCCACACATTAATAAATATAAGCCCCTCTACTCCTTAAAATAATCCTGTGAACTGGATACTATTATTATTCTCTGATGAAGAAATTGAGGCATAGTTAAGTAATTTACACCAGGTCACATAACTAGTGAGTGGTATATATCCAGGAAATATGACAAACTTTATACTTTTAATCATTGTCCACATACTGTTATGTGGAAAATGTCCACAGGATCAAAAACCATTTTAATTTTCTTTTTAATAAGGTGTTCTAATGTCGCTTAGGAAGCCTAATCATGTTGACTACTTGAGGGGTTGCTGGTGTTTGTGTACTTCCCTCTAGGCCCTAGTGTGGTGAATGAGGGGGTGCCAGTATTCACCTAATTTATCAGTGGATTTTGACTGAGATTTAATAAATATGTACAAAAAAGTGTTTTTTTAAAAATTGAAGTATATCTGACCCAGGCGCAAAAGCACACATACTAACGAGCATAGATGTTCCCTGTCAACATAGATTGTGAAATGTTGGAAAATTTCAATTATCATGAAATAACTGAAGTCCATATAATATACAAAATTCAAAAAGAAAGTTAAAGAGACCCTTTGAAAATCTTTGCAAGAAGAAAAGATAACTATTGGGTATTGAGCTTAATACCTGGGTGATGAAAGAATATGTACAACAAACCCCCATGACACGTGTTTACCTATGTAACAAACCTGCACATGTGCCCCCAAAGCTCAAAAGTTAAAAAAAAAAAAAGAAAATCTTTGCTAGGGGTCAAGAGTTTAAACTAGTCCCTGCAAAAATGTAGGGAGGTTACTAACAATTCAGTATGTGCATTTCACAGGGAAATATTAATTCCCCTGTGTAGACCAGGTGCTCATTATGATTAAGAGCTGGTAACCATGGAAACAAACAGCATGAAATTTATAAAATTAAAGACATGCTGGATAGAAAATGCAAATAGCCTAGGACAGTGAATCTTGCCCCAACCAGTCTTAGCTTGATTTCCCTTGAATTGAAAGACTTATGAAATTTCTGTCTGGCCATTTTTTGAGTAAAATCACTCAATTTGAGAAACTGAATTTACACTTTGGATATCTCACTTTGTTCATTTGATAATACCTTTTTGAGTCAATCTAGACATGTTGCAGTGTATATAAGGCTAGAATGTATTGGTTAGCAGTATCTAGGAAGTGGTTACTTTTAAATTGATTCTGGAAGCTTAAATGAGTACTTGAACCTTTTATGTAGACATTTATTGTGAATTTCCAGTTGACATACTGTAAGTGATCAGTCACTTTTAGTTTCTAAATTTCTTTCTTTTGCTAAATCACATAGGTGGTCCAAGTAGAACACTTTATGGTAAAACATCAGTTTCTGTGTCACGGAATGATTTACTTATCTATGAAACGGTGAGTGAGATGGCAATAGTAAAGTTTCTTTACTCTTGCTTGTAATATTTTGATTGTTTATAAATCTATTCCTTGAGACCATTAAGACAACAGACTACTTGTCTGTAAATACTCTAAAGTAATGTTGTTTGAATTAAAAATCTTTATAATTTTTAAAATGACAAAAATCTTACTTTCTGCAAGAATAAGTTTACTCAAGGAGGTTGCCAGATTTTCCATTTTACTTTAAAGATAATTTCTTTATCTTAAAGGTGGAATAGGTTATATTAAAAAGATTGCAACTGGTTCAGTTGAGGAAAAAGTCCGGTACAACACTATAGTTTCATTTGATTTTGATTTGGACTCATTTTAATGCATTTTACGCTCTCGTATCTCAGGAGAGTCAAAATAAGTAATTGACCTCAATCTGACAGCCAGAATGAAGCACTGCTTTTGCGAGCATGCCTATCAACACTCGTGAATGTATTTGTGGTGGCTATATAAGGGAAGGGACATAATCCTTTCATCTGCCCTGCTTCAGTAACTCCTTAATAGAATACCGTACGTATCTTTGGTGACCAGACATTAAAAGGGACCTACACAGACAGTAGAGGATCCAGGGAAGAGTGACAGAGTTTATTCAAGTTATCCAAAATTGGTCCTGGAAGAGTGTTCTCAAAGTGTGTTCTGTGTTTCACTTGCATCCCAATTATATGGGGAATTTATTTTAAAATGCAAAACTTTAAAATAAGTTCTCCTGGTAGTTCTTAGGTTCATTTGGTCTTAGAGCCTTTGCCATTTTATGGAGGCTGATTATTTGGGAAGTGGTGACATAGGGGCAACTGAATGACATTAACCTGACGTTAAGTTAATGATGCATTTAACAAGACCCAGTTAGAATTATTCATCTTGCTTTCCTGGATCCCTTCTCAGTTATTGATGAAGTGGAAAATACAAATACTTTTTACTATTTGTATATGTATCAAATGACATTTTTTCTTATCATTTCTTATAGCCTTTCATTTCTGTCTTTAAGTTTTTTTTATTTTTATTTTTATTTTTTTTTTTTGAGACGGAGTCTCGCTCTGTTGCCCAGGCTGGAGTGCAGCGGCGCAATCTCGGCTCACTGCAAGCTCCGCCTCCCGGGTTCACGCCATTCTCCTGCCTCAGCCTCCTGAGTAGCTGGGACTACAGGCGCCCGCCAACACACCCGGCTAATTTTTGTATTTTTAGTAGAGACGGGGTTTCACCGTGTTAGCCAGCATGGTCTTGATCTCCTGACCTCGTGATCCGCCCGCCTCGGTCTCCCAAAGTGCTGGGATTACAGGCATGAGCAACCACGCCCGGTCCTGTCTTTAAGATTTAATTTTTTAAATATGTAAAACCATTCTAATGATTTCCATCATTAAAAATCAGAACCATCTGATTCCTTGAAGAGAACAGAGCCTTTGCTAGCACTGAGAAGGA
Source organism: Homo sapiens (assembly GCF_000001405.40). Lineage (NCBI taxonomy): Eukaryota > Metazoa > Chordata > Mammalia > Primates > Hominidae > Homo > Homo sapiens. Next base: position 113,124,771 of record NC_000007.14, read on the forward strand.
CTCTGAGTAACAAAATGGACAGTACCTCAGTTATAAAAAATAACAATGTGGATATGAATTTTATGTGGTTATTTCTCATAACAACCTCTGTCAAAGATTAGGACAAAGTAGTAAATGTGAGTCAATGAAATTGATCAGAAAGGTGTTGTGGGTTCCCAATATGTATGTTTCTGGTGACAACATTAACCAAAGATTGAATTTGTAAGGTCTTGGACCTATCTTCCCTGAACATTTCTTCTCTCAGTAGGTATTTGGATGAGAGCTGGATATCCTGGAGTGCTAGTATTCTAAATTGCTGGCTAAGGGCCCATCCATATGCTTTGGAACAGAGAGATAGTTATCCTATTATGAAAGTAGTGAGATAGTTATCCTATTATGAAAATTAAGTAGCTCTAACAATTGTCCTTCCTACATAGATATAGCTGGATAAAGTGGGGCTTGGGCCCAGAATCCTACCTCTTTTGGTTATATCACACTGATTTCTCATACTGTTTTTAGTATTGTAATACCCACATAGTGACAATCCACAAATACTTATTGAATAAGTTAAAAGCTAAGACTTTAAGGTTTTAAGATTTTAGCCAACATAAAGCTCAGTTTGCATCAACATGTATGACATAGCCACCAAAACAGTGATTATGATCTTCGGCTGCAGGAATTGATGTGAATTATCTAGAAGAGGGAGGGAAGCTTTGCTTTGCTATTTCCAGTGTGGGCTATGCCCAGCAGTTTGCTGTTCTCTTATGGGTTCCTATTTTAATAGAAACATTAACAAACTGGATATTAACGGTATAATGATGAGATTAAACTCATTAGTTGAAGAACATAGTTGAAAAACCATGGGATGTAAATGAGAAGACTCAATGAGAATGTCTGCCATTTTCAGTGGCTCATCCCATAGGAGAGACCATAAAAGAAAGAAATTGGACCTGTTCTAGATGGCCAGTGGGGGAAAGTAATGGGCATGTTTTTAGCTTGATAGAAAAAAAAGCTCTTCTAATATTCTAAGAGGGAATTGGCTGCCTCAGTGAGCAGTGAACTCTTGATCAGTCAGAAGGGTAGCTTAATGAACACTTGACTAGGATGTTGTAGAAAGGATTCAGACTTCAAAAAGATAGTCGTATTAGATGTCCTTGAAGCTTCCTTCTAAACCTGGCATTTTCTGATTCTCTTATCTCCTCCCCGCACCCACCCACAAGTCCTGTGCTGGTTGTCTGGTACTCATTACAAGAGCTTGTTTTAAGAATCTCTGAGACACTGTTATTTATCTTTCCAAAGGCTTTATTTTTAGTATTTAAGAATTTCTATATTTCTTTATTTGAAACTAGGAGAAAAATAGACTTTTTTCTACTTCTGAAAACTTTGGTTAATATTTTGTTAACATTTATATATACCTAAATATATATGATAGATTCTTAATATTGTTGTTAATATTTTAACATCAGCCTGTGTAATTGATACTAATTTCATAAAATATCATGTAGGCTACAGTGAACAGATGAAAAATGGGTTTCGTATATTTTATTTATACCAGCAACGGTTTATAATCTGAGGATCAAGATATAAGGTTGATCAAGCTTTTGAATGTGATATGTCCTGAAAGTGGATTTCTAATGGAATACCTACAAAATGGTTTTTTGCCGTGAGTCAGAATGATCTCAACAGTCTTGTGTATATCAAGTCATTGTAGTATACATTTCTGGATGGTTCAATCTTAGGCCAAAGTAGGTTTTCCTATTTCGTCCTATTCTAAACAAGTTCTGTTTTTCTGGGAGATGAGCTATTTTAATTTAATTTTTGAGTGAGTAAATCCCTTAAGCATTGAAAATCAAAGTATATTTGACTTTTTAGCATGTGGGTACCAAAATATGTATAGTGTAAAGATCTGAAAGCACGTTGACACTGCCTATCACATTCTTTAGATGCTCAGCTCTTCAGGGAAGCAAAAACCTGAAAAAGAAAAACAAAGTTAAAGATTAAATATGTGATCAGTACTGGATTATATAAAATGTTTCTCGTTTGTAAATGAAACAATAATCAGTAGACAGGAAAGATTGCAATGACTACAAAAGTTCAAAAGTGAGCAGGTTATTGTTGTGTTCCTCCCTTGTTGAAGCACAACAGTGAGAGGAGGGCTACATTGACTCTTCTCAATCATTTTCTTTTATCCCCAAGTGTCAAATATTTCTTTTACTTTCAGTTGGGATTAAAATAGTATATTCTAGCCACAGTCTTGGTGCTTCCATAAGAAACTACACCTGCTGGGATCTTGTCAGGTCCTCGGTTACACAATTGCAGTACCAGAATTAGGCCTTAGATCTCCCCATACAAGTGTTTTTCCAAAATCCTGAAAGTTTTCAGCCTCAGCCACTTTTCCTCACTAGAATGGAGCATGCATGGTTTGTCTTATGGTAATGAGAAGTGTTATGTGGCATGAGCAATGTTAGGAAGTAAAAGTGCAACTATTTCCTAGACTGAAGTTAGAGTGCTGGCCTACATTATCCAGTGGAAGACAGATGTTCCTATAAAGATGTGTGTTTTATAGATTTTCTGTAAATATGTAATATTTTCTCTTGATTTAGACTATATATTCAAAGATAGTCTTCTTTTTCTGATTGATCTCAAGTGAATGTTAGACATTGAATGTTTGTGTTAACATTTCCTATCCTTTAATATCTTGATGAAGTATTTTATAATTTTTAAAGCAACTCTCTGCTTAAAAGACAAAAGGCTGGGCACGATGGCTCATGCCTGTAATCCCAGCGATTTGGGAGGCCGAGGTAGGTGGATCACGAGGTCGGGAGATCGAGACCATCCTGGCTAACACGGTGAAACCCCGTCTCTACTAAAAATACAAAAAATTAACTGCGTGTGGTGGTGGACGCCTGTAGTCCCAGCTACTTGGGAGGCTGAGGCAGGAGAATGGAGTGAACCCGGGAGGCGGAGCTTGCAGTGAGCCTCGGTCATGCCACTGCACGCCGGCCTGGGCGACAGACCGAGACTCCGTCTCAAAAACAAAACAAAAACAAAAACAGAAAAAAAAAAAAAAGACAAAAACCCCAAAACATTTTTTCAGTTTCTGTAAACACACACATACACACACACACACACACCCCCCACACACACAAACACACGCACAGTGGTGAATGGCTGATGCAGTCCTTCTGTTAAGTTGGCAATTATTTTGTCTAAATATGGCCTTAATAAAGGCCAGGCCAGGACTGGGTACATTTTCTAGGCCCAATACTAAATGAAAATGTGGGGCCTCTTGGTCAAAAGTAAGGATTTCTAGACAGGGATACAAGAGCATTAAACTGGACCCGTTAGTCTTCTAAGTGCAGGGCCCCATGTGAATGCACAGATCACATGCCATGGGTCCACCCTGGACCAGGTCATGGTGAGTCAAATCAAACCTTTAATAATGGTAACTTTCCAGCCCAGTTTTCAAAGTTGGCTCCACTTTTCTAAGACATCAGATGCCTCACCATGCCTGAGGCCTGACTCAAACTCAGGGTTGGCAGCACCTAGTAGAGGGAAGTGCTGGATGAAGTCCAGGTACTTTCACATCAGAACCCTTCCAGAAAGTGTCTCTGACCTGGAGCTGCCACCTATTAGAGCCCTATGGACTGTAATGGGGACTAGGAACCTTCCATGTCCTTCTGCCTGGCCACACTGGGCTTTCCAAGAGCTTTGGAAGGAGGTGGCAAGCCACAGCTACATGGGTGGTGAATCCTGTGTGCAGTGTCTGGGCCTGGAACTACCAGTGCACTTAGGAAGCTAAGGATACAAGGTCTGGTGAATTCTCCATCGGCTGGAAGCTTGTCCCAAGCAGACTTAACACAGCAAACTCAGACCCAGCTAGAGTTCAAGGTTTGGCTGCCTCTGGAGCTAACTTCAGATTCAGGACTAGTAGAGTTCCCCGCTCCCAGAAAACATAAAAGAATGGGTCTCTGTCCCCATTTGCATCTACCCCTTTCCCCAAGAAAAGTAAGGCCCTGGCATTTGGCTATAAGAAACCATGGTCAAGTTAGTGCTTTATCTGTACTTGATAGAATTTCTACTTAAACAAGCAAAAAACAAGATTTATTTTTGTGGGCAATACTGCTTTTTTTCTGTGTGACAACGTCTATGTATATTTAAAAATTATATTGTCTTAAAAGAGAGGCACATCACCATTTTTTCTCTGGGGTTCCCTTTCTATTTAGTTTGTTTTGTGTCCAAATGTTCTAGAAAAGAAGCTTAGGTTTTCATCGGCTTAGAAAAATGAGACCACAGTCAGGTGGACCAACTTATTTAATTTCTACTCTTCAAAGTAGTGCTACTAAAACAACAACAATACTCAAAATCAAGAAGACAAAGCCTCCAAACCTAGAATCCTTTTAGACCCTGTGGATCGAGAAGTGGATGAAATAAAAGAATCGGTTGATTCCTTGGCAACTTTTCATTAACATTCAAAGCAGATTTTAAAAGATTAATTGAGAACATGAAAAATAGATGTTATTGTAACCATTCTTTTTATTTTGGTTAGAAAAGGCCCAACTGGGTTTTTATAAGTTGAACAAAATACATTTCCCATTATCTATGAAAACATGGTAATCTATTATGGATAAATCATTCTTATTATCCTTTTCTTTTTGTGCTCTTTCAATGAGAATTTCTTCTGGACTCTTACCCCTCTTATAATTGGGTAATGATAAAATTAGATAAATTTTAATACCAATGATTTGGCTTCTAAATTTTGTTGCATTTAAATGGAATTGGAGCCATTTAGCATAGATTAAATTCCAGATCTTGTCTCTGTCTCAGTGAATAGGTTCAGATTTCTAATGGAAGACCAAGACTGATATTAGGACCAGCTACTGATAAAGTCAGCAAAACTACTATATGCCACCGTGTTTGCCTTACATAATTATAGAGGTGGGTTTTACATTAGGCTGGCTGAAAGTAGAATTCTGAGATGAAGAGTTATATGTAAAGATTTTTTGAGATGTGCTCTCCAGAACTGCACCTGTGAGGAGATGAGAAAAGGAAGATAGGGTAGAGGGGAAAGCTGACTCACAATGCAACTGAGGTCTTGGGAGAGCTTACAGGGAGCTCTGGAAAGGAGATGTCTCTAAGAATTGTTCCAAATTGAAGCAAAGGGGACTTTATTCCTTGGCGTGTGTTGGGCATTGACTGTGGCTCTCCCCTGAGAAGTATTTAGTGAGGTAGTTGCTTGTAGCCAAGAGCATTTCTCTGTCAGGGTTACATCTGTAAGCTTTTACCAGATGGTATTCCTCAAAGCTGAGGGCAGTAGGCTTTAACCCTGAAGAGGGAACCTGGGTGGATCATCATAGTTCCAACCACGCTTGGTAACGTAGCTCAGCTTTCTGCAGTCTACTATATATGGCATAGAATAGCAGGTTGGCAGGGAGGATTAATAAAAATCCATGTGGATTATGGCTTCTTCTGGAAAGGTTAATTAAAACTGTGCTTACCATACTTGTTACCTCTGTACCATCAAAGCAAGCAGAGAATAGTCATACTTTACCTCTTTTCCCACATGTCACACTCAAAACCATAGCTTAGATACTGTGTTTGAGAGTTGAACCTTAGATGTTTTATTTAAATGATTCTTCTAAATTGGACAGGTATAGTTTATCTTGATGCCAACTGGCTTATACCAGATTAAGCTTTAATATTGTGAAGTCTCCGGTTCATTAAAAAATAGCTATTTAACAACAAAAAAAAAATACTTTGGGAACCCATTTAAGGTAACTCCAAACCTTAAATGGGTTCTAAAGTATTTTTTTTTGTTGTTGTTAAATAGCTGGTTTTGTATTAGTCATTTGAGAAAGTAGTAATACTTCTTTTGATTGAATTTGCTTCTGGTTATCATGCTTGTTTAGATTTAGAGAACAGGAAGCGTGTTAGAGCTGTGTGATGCTCTGCCCTCTTTTAGCTAGGTGGCTACTAGACACTGTGAGAAGGAAGCAGTTGATTACCTTTCAGACTACATGTCACTGGGATGATCCTGCAGCAATAAAGGTTAATTTTTATATTAATAAAACTAGAGAGATCTTTTGGCAACCTCAAGCCTTTGGCTTTCTGGAAAATATAAACCCATTTTTATACTTATGGGACTTGGTTTTAGTGATATCAGGGCCCCTGTCAACCCTTGATCGTGTAGAGTTAACATGGCCTGGGTAGATGTGTTTCCAAGCATTGGAATCTGGGATACAAAGCTGAGTGGTTTAATTTGTTGTTACTATGTTGTATCTTTTCACACAAGTGCTACATCCAACCCAGTCGTGAAACAAAATGATTTGGATTTTCTCATTTTTTCAAAGAATACTTACTGATGTGTTACGGAAGCTAAAAGGGAAAACCAAATTGATGATAATCAATTCCTATGGACATATCAAAGCAGGTAGAGTAGAAGGCATCCTGGAAGAGCTACTATCTGAGAGGAAACCTGTAAGTTAAGTAAGAATTAGCCATATTAATGGCAGAAATATGGCAGGGATGGTTTCTTAGTAAGAGGGGGCAATGGATGGAAAGGCCTCAGAGAAAGAGAGCCTGTCTGTAGTTTATGATAGCTAAAACACAGGCTATTTTCATAAGAATCAGTAAGGAGAAGGGGATTAAGAGGTGAGCAGGGGTCTGATTAGAAAAATATTATATTGTGAGCATATAAGACTTTATCTGGAGAACACAGGGAACCATTGAATTGTCTTCAGCAGAAGAGTACTATGACCAGATTTGCATTTGGAGAGCAGTATAAACAGCAATTGGAGAGACCACAAGGGGAGGCATCAGGACCAGTGAAGAGACAAGGAAGAGGTCATGAGCACCCAGATTAGGGTAGAGACAATGAGGATGGTGGAAAGTGAGCAGATTTGAGAGGCTTTTAGCAAAAACGTTAGGTCGATGTTAGGCCTTGGCAACTCATTGGAGGTGGGGTGATGACAAACAAAGATATTGTTGGAAAACTGGACAGGTATAGTGGGATGAATAAACATGCTATTATGTGTGAAAAGGCATGGCTCACCTTAGCCCTTAACCTGCTGTTTTCTGGTGTCATAACTCCGTTTATTTTATTGCAGGTGTTGAATATCTGAAAGCTCTATTACCATTTATCTTAGTTTGGCATGTGATCAGAGATTTTGATATTTCTGGATTGAACTGGGCATGACTGATGGTGAGAGATAAAGAATTTTTGATTCCTAATTCCAAGTTGCCACCTTCATATAATGAGAACAAAATAATATATTTTATAGAAAATAAAATAACATTTTTATCATGGGAGGCTCAATCTTTACTAAATCTTGCTACAACTGCCTCAAATGACACTTAGGTTCATATTTTCTCTGACTTGTTTATGTTCTAATCATTCTTACTATAAGTTTCATTATGATCAATGGACAAATGTCACAATAATTATTCTGCACAATTTCATGGTTAATGTATACATCTAATTAAAAGGACTTTATTCAACTTTTTTTCACTAAACAAATTGTTTTATTTTTCTTAAGAAAAAATAATTTTAAGTCTCCTCACAAAGAATATGGAGATTATTCAAAATCAAAGAGCTAGGTTTTTAGCCTATGCTATAGTGTTGACCCAACCATATAGCAAGTCTATGATCAATTTCAATAAAATAATTTCCCTTTTTCTTATTTGATTTTTAGAGATAGCAGTAGGAATTTGAATTTAGAAGTAATAGACAGCCATTTCCAGGAAGATGCCTGAGATTTGGAAATTATTTGCATAGATGTTGTATATTAAACAGGTTAAACAAAGGTGTTCTTTTTCAAGTCTGAGAGTTTATATTCATAAATAATCTTGTTCTTTGGCAATGGGCATTACATTTAGAGAAAATAATGTCTGTGTAAACACATCTATCCAAAAAGGCACCTTTGCTCACAAAGATCAATATTTGTGACTGAAGCAGTGAGGCTTCTAAACATAACTTATTATGCGGTAATTTAAAATCCTTTAGAAAACAAGTAGGGACTGCTTAATGCATAGACTCCTAACTGTGAATTTCAAGATGACCTCCTACAATTATAAGAAAGCCACTTCTCCAAGCATACTGAGCATCAACTCTTGGCCTCAAGGTGAGGCTAGATGGAGTGTTATGGCATGGCCACAGACAGTGCTGTGAAACCCCAGTGTTTCTGATAGTTTGATTGCAGATCACTATCTTGTCTCCCACCTTCATCCTTCCATGACCTCAATTTCTCTCTTGTGCTTAGGTCTTTTAATAGAGGAACTGACAGCTAACAAATTTCTGTTCTACTTTGGATGCCTTCGCCTTCTTCACATTTATCCTGCCCCTCTTACCTCCTCTGCATAATTCACTGAAACTGTTTATTCTGCTGTATTCCTGTCACTCTACACTGGAGAAACATCCAGCCCAAGTAATTCATGATCCACTGGAAAGCACCTGCACATTTCTTCAGATTTAATTTGGATCATCCGCTCCCTCCACCCTTCTCTGATCTTCCTGATTAGAGCTAACCACTCCTGCCTTGTGGTCCAAAATGGTCCAACATGCACAGAGCTAACCCCCTGTGCATGTTGGACCTGTTTCTATCACAACCACAAAACCCTGTATTGTGCTTGTCCTTATTCACCACCACTCCAGACAGTAGGCCCTTCTAGGATGGGAATTGTGTTATTCATTTGTAATGCTCCCATATCTAGCACCATGCCTAGCCACTTATGAAATGACAAATACATGTTTTTATGTTTTTCTTTTCCTGAACAAATTATTTAAAACAGGAAAGTCTGATGGGCAGGGAAGTAGGCACATCTAGTTCATCATCAAGTTCTGCCTATTTTGCTATTTAAACATGTCTTGTATCCAAGCTCTCCATCTTGCTGTCTCTACCTGAATTCGCGTTCTCATTTTCTCTCTGCTGCACTATTAAAATGGCCTTCAGATGGGCTCTGTTCTCTCTAGGCTTAACCCTCACATTCACTCTCCAGGTAGGTGGCATAATCATTTTTTGATGTGCAAATCTGAAGATGTTCCTCTATAGTTTACGGGATAAATTCTAACATCCTTAGCATAGCACATAAGACCTTTCATGATCTGGCCCCTATTTGTCCATTTTCATCTCCTGCTATTTTCTGCTTCAGCCATGGTGGACATCTTGTGTGGTCTCATACAGTGCAGTTTATTGTGCCTTGTTCTGAATTTTTCTGTTGCAAAAAATGCCCCTCTTCAGTCTAATTTTTTTCTGGCAAATTCCTATGCATGGACAGAAATTCAGAGAGAACATGTTTATCATAACCTGGCTTTACCACTTACTTACAAACTGTTTAAACTTGGGCAAATTGCTCACTTCTCTGTGTCTCAATTTTCTCATTTTTAAGTCAGGGATAATATTCTTTCTGCTTAGTAAGTATGCATATTGCATGAGTCAGAGTTCTTCAGTGAGACAGAACCAACAGGATGAATAGATAGATAGATAGATAAATAGATAGATAGATAGATAGATAGATAGATAGATAGATAGATAGATGAGAGAGGATTTATTAGGGGAATTGGCTCACATGATTATGGAGACTGAGAAGTGCCACAACGGGTCATCTACCACCTAAAGATCCAGGGATGCTGGTAGCATGGCTCAGTTCAAGTCTGAAAGCCTCAGAACCAGGGAAGTCAAAGGCCTGAGAACCCAGGAAGCCACTGGTGCAAGTTTCAGAGTCCAAAGCCCTGGAGTTCTGATGTCTAATCATAGGAGAAGTGTGTCCCAGCTTCAGGAGAGAGAGAGAGAGAGAGAGTGCAAATTTGCCTTTCTGTTCTATCTAGCCTCCCATCTGATTGGTTGGTGCCTGGCCACATTGAAGGCAGATCTCCCCCACTCATCCATTGACTCACGTGCCAATCTCTGCCCAAAACATCTTCACAGACACACCCAGAAATTATGCTTTAGCAGCCAACTAGGTATCCCTTAATGCGGACAAGTTGACACCTAAAATTATCCATCACACACATCAGCCATTATTGCTTATTTTACTCATTAAGGCTTTACAAAAAGTTTCACTGCTACAAGCAACCTTTCAGAATTTCCCAGGATGGATTAGATTTCCCTCTTATGTGCTACATAGTTTCTCTTGCAGATCTTGATTCTTGGACTCACCAAATTTTGTTGGAATTGTCTTTATGGAATTGCCTTCTTATTGGACTGTGAGCCACATGAAAGAAAAAAAATCATGGTTTCTTATGTTTTATATCTTCAGCATGAAACATGCTGATAGTAAATGCTCAATAAATATTTGACGAATGAGGCTGGGCGTGGTGGCCCACGCCTGTAATCCCAGCACTTTGGGAGGCCAAGGCAGGCGGATCACGAGGTCAGGAGATCGAGACCATCCTGGCTAACATGGTGAAACCCCGTCTCTACTAAAAAATACAAAAAATCAGCCAGGCATGGTGGCAGGCACCTATAGTCCCAGCTACTCAGGAGGCTGAGGCAGGAGAATGGTGTGAATCCAGGAGGCAGAGCTTACAGTGAGCTGAGATTCCAGCCTGGGCGACAGAGTGAGACTCTGTCTCAAATAAATAAATAAATAAAATAAAATAAAATAAAAAGTTTGATGAATGAATGAGTTACATAGTAGGAAGAATCCATGATTTGGAGTCAGAGAGATCTGTGCTCAAATTGAATAACTAGCTCTGCATCTGCAAGCAAGTAACAGCTTCTTGGAGACAGTTTCTTTATAAACAGGGATAATTCTTTTTTTTAGGATTAGGGATAGTATTACACATAGAGTTTATTGCAGTGCCTAAAATGTTGCTGTTTTTATCCTGAAAAAATATTTCATAATTTTATTGCAAAGTTAGAGTTAGCTGGCAGATGCAGTTTTCCCCTTGAAGAATCATATTAACTCTGAAGAAAATATCATCTAGTGCTTGTGTTTATCTGAAGATAATGTCTTGCTGAATTTCTCTGGAAGTATCCATATCTTCCTGAACTCCTACATTGTCTGTAACACCCAGCAAACACTTAGAGATTTCTTTCCTTGTAGTTTAACCAACTTCTTTGTTTACTTTTTCTGTGCAAATAGATTGTAAGCATTTTGAGGACAATAACTACATTTTGTATATTTTTAAATCCTCTTCCTGCCTTCCCATACATTGTCCCCTCCTCTGAATTGAGATCTCTGCATGAACTAATCAATAAGTAAATATTGATTTATAAAGATGGGTGGGGCCCAAGAACAGGCAGTGGCGACTGGAAGGCTATGACTCTCAGAGAGTCCATCTCATCTGGAGTAGAATCCCAGCCAACAGTTAATGCAAAGATTGCACTGGACATGAAGGGGAGCATAAAATAAGATATGGTGCCTTCTTGGCAGGAGCTGAAGATCTATTTGGCAAGATAAAACATGCTCAAATGGAACCATTGAGGAGTAGTACTAAACAGAATGTCATTAAATCCCCACCGTGTTCAGAAGAAGAGAAATTAAAAATTCATGCAGGTGAGGCTGAAGAGAAGAGATTCTTGGGACACTCCAAAGGGAAACAGACAGAACCTCATAGATATTTGAATCTTATGATATGCCAGGCATTGTGATGAGTGATGAATATGTATTCTTGTGTCTGTGTGTGTATGTGTGTGTGTGTGTGCGTGCACATGTGTGCATACATAATAGTAACTTTTATTCATTCATTCAATAAACATTTTTAAAAACATGCTTAAAAGACACAAACATAAAATTTATTAACAATTTTTGAGACTATAGTTCAGTAATGTTGAGTATATTCATGTTGTTTTATAACAGAGCTCCAGAACTATTTTGTCATGCAAAACTGAAAGTCTATATTCATTAAACAATTCACTATTTCCCCGTTTCTCTGAGCATATGTTCTTTTATCTAATCCCTGTTACAAATTTGTGGGACAGTTTTAGGAATGCCATTTCACAAGGAATCGAACAAAGCTTAGAGGTTAAAAAAATTTCCAAGGTCTTATAAATAATAAAGATAAAACCAATGAGCCATTGATCAGGAAAGGAGTAAACTATTAGGAACACATAGTTTCAGGTGAGATAGAAGAACTACATTTTGCTTTTTTGCAGGAGTTGGTTTTTATGGACCATTCATGGGCATGGTAGCTCTTGCCTCTAAAATGTGCCACACAGCACCTGATGCTACTCTACTGTCAATACTTCTCTTTCCTAGAACTAAGGTCTCTGCTGTCTCAAACGATGCTGAGCAGAAATGGCTGCCAGATTGAGAACATCAGAAAAATGGTGTGGGTTCCTATGTTCACATTTTGGGCCTGTGATCCTCCCAGGCCACAAGGTATCAAAGACTGTTCTTTAGGGTGAGGGATGTTGGATCAACTTTTAAATCTTGCTAGAAATTTTCATGGGCAAGAGAGAAGGAACTTAAATGTGTCTTCATGGACCGGAAGAGCTGGCCTCTTGGGTTGATAGTGGCAAGGGCAAAGGAGAATCTGGGTGAAAATTTTTGGCCATATTTTCAGGATTACAGGAAGGGAAGGAAGTTAAAATACAAGATATATATATCATCTCCAACCTGGAAGAACTCCGTGTTGGCTAAGGCCTTACAAATAGCTTTTTCCTACTGAGATACATCCTGGCAATAGATTAGGCCACATGTGGAGTTCTACGAAGTGGTTGTTTAAGAAAGGTACTGGGATAGCAGGTGTACTTGGAATGATAAGGCAGGAGTGGAAATGATTAACTGTTGTGAAATAATGCATTTTATTTGTCAAGCACTATGTGAAGTGCTTTATGCACATTTTGTCTAATTCTTAAAATGACTTTTTATGTTAGGCATTATTGTCCTTATTTTATAAACTATGTCTCAGGAAGGTAAAGAATTTGCCTTTGATTACTGGGTTGGTTATTAAACTAACATCTCTCAGCTTCAAACCCAACTGTCTACATTTTGCTTTTTGATACATGGGCTGTGGGCATCTGCAAACCATGTTTCTGCTTTTTTGATTGGTTAAACCCTGTCAGTTGGGGATACTACAGGAAATTGTAAGCAGGAGGAGGTAGATGGAACATGTTCTTTCTTTTTTGCTGTTGTTTTTGTTTTTCTTCCTATTTGCTTTCTGCTGGCTTTCTTTTCCCATGAGCATCACCCAGCAATGCCTCTTCAGTCTTGCAGCAGCAGTTTGTTCCAATAGCAGCAGAGGAGTCCAGTTTGTGGTTTCCCTGACACTCACAGAGTCAGCATCAGTCGCTGGCTCCCCTTCTTCAGAGATCTGGGACCCAGAACCATGGGATGCCTCCTCCCGCTAAGCTCAGGGACTCAGCACCATCAGATTCTCCTCAGGAGTCTGTGAGGCCTGTGCTCCAGGCTTCTAACTGTTAATAATTCTAATATCTTCATTTTGTTCCTCGAATTCTAGGAATGGTTGCTACCTCTATGATACCTTAGAGTTCTCTTTTTGCCATTTCAGTACTTAATTAACAACTTTTATAAAATTAACAATTCTTTATTTTATTTTATTTTATTTTATTTTATTTTATTTTATTTTGAGACAGATTCTCACTCTGTCGCCAGGCTGGAGTGCAGTGGCACGATCTTGGCTTACTGCAAGCTCCACCTCGTGGGTTCAAGGGATTCTCCTGCTTCAGCCTCCCGAAGAACTGGGATTACAAGCACATGCCATCACGCCCAGCTAATTTTTTGTATTTTTAGTAGAGGCGGGGTTTCACCATGTTGTCCAGGATGGTCTCCGTCTCCTGACCTCGTGATCTGCCCGCCTCGGCCTCCGAAAGTGTTGGGATTACAGGCGTGAGCCACTGCACCCGGCCAAAATTAACAATTCTTTATATTAATTTCTTTCTGTTTAACCTGTATGATTTCTGGCTCTTGGCTGGATCCCAAAACAATTAAATAACTATTACTACTGCTCATCATCATCATCATGGCCTCCATTTATTATTTAGCAATGCTTTTAAGGTGGTAGAACTAAGTTCCTCATAGTGGGTGTGGGCAGAATGCACATCCGCTATATTCTTTTCTTGCTACCCAACTGGCTACCTTTGGGATGGAGCAGAATTTTTCAAGGGCACAGGCCATTTGATCTTGCTAGCGCTGGTAGTGTCTATTAGCCCTGATGTGATGTTTTGTAATCTATATATTCAGTGCTAATTAAGCCTCAAAGCAATTCCAGCAAAGCTCTTTATAAGAACCAGGGCTATGTTTATTTTTCCCCATCGACTCTGCAGAGCCAAGAACAGTGTCTAGCAGTGCTTGGTAGGTGTTTAGTATGCATTTGTTGAACAAAAGATTGCATGAATGCATGAGCAAGGCTTAGGAATATTAGAATCTTATCCTCTCCAGTGAATGGATTCTGGAAACTGACTTCTTGGATATCTGGCCTTCTTCCTGATTTGTACTTACGTTGCCATCTGGGACTCAAGCCTTGAACTGAAACCCAGTATGTTCAACAGAGGCCTGACAGCCATTCTATTCAACAGAACTTCTCAACCCCACACTTCTTGTCCCTTTCACTATCTATGCCCTTTGAGTTGTTGGCTTGAGATGTGCTTCCAATCAGATGGACCCTCCTTGAACCATAACATTACTGTGGTTTCTGCCTGCTGCTGAGCTCTACTCTATAGGTCTTTATGGAAGTAACCCCACTCTGAGCACTGGGGAAGGCCTCTTTCCCATTGGGATTTGTACAGCAGCTAACTTCTCCTGCTCTGTACTTTCAGCTGGTTGAGCTACCTCTGTGTCTGCCCCAACCCTAATTCCCTGAATCCCACCCAGGATGCTGGCCCATGCTCTTCTCTCTGCCAGTGTTTGAAGTTCCTGCATGTCTCATGGTTAAGACTGCACAGTTTGGTGTGTTTATAATTCAGGTATTTTTCACTGGTGCTCATTATATGCAGCATAAGTCAAACAAACAGAATTTCTTCTCCACCTGACCTCAGAGATGAAATAAAAACTATCTTTGTGTTTAAATAAACGTTTCCTGGCCACCTTTATGCATAGACAAACTTTCCTTGGGATACTGAAAGAAGAGTATAAGAATATACATACCTATATTTGTAATTCAACATGATTTAACATTATTTTCCCCAGCTGAAGTTATACATGATTTTGTGTAAGATTTAAAATTAATCTCATGTTCAGTTTCAACTTGTTATTGTGTCTACTTTTTTTTTTAACTTGCATAGAAGAACAATTCCATGGATCATATCACCTGATTGACATCTTTCTGGTTTTGCTCTCTCTGTCTAAAATATCAGAGAACAGTAGAAATTTCTGCATGACTCAGAATGTTGAAAAGCCTTATATGATAGTAACATAGCATAAGAGCATATCCTGTGATGATTTTTCTTTTAATAATAGAGTTCTGGTTGTCAGGTTATACTAGGAAGCTTTTCAAGATGGGATGCCTTTGAAGTAACCACACAGTTCCTTCTCTCCTTTTTCTTCTATGATTACTATTTCTTTAAAATGAATAAGTAGGCAATTGATTTTATGCCCAGAACCCAACAATGAGACCCCCACAGAACAGGGATAATTGGAACACAGATATGTGAGCAGATGGGGAAAAATATCAGCAGGAAGGAAATGACCCAATGAAGTCTCAATGAGTAGAATATGGTTTACTGGAAAGTGTATAGCAGGTAGTAGGGACCCAGCAGTAGGTCTGGAGTACAGACATTACTCCCTCAGAAAACTGGGAAAGGCAGGCAGAGGTTTAGGTAAGGTAGATGAAGAGACCAATGTCCTGGAACAACAGTTTGAGATCAGGAACTCAACAGCTGAAGTTCACATAGGCTGACTGAGTTTTAGGACATTGAGCTATGGCCTAAGGCTCTGTGATCTTTTCACTAGTAACTGAGGCAAGCAATAATGAACAATAATTTAGGAGTGAAGTTGGACATAGTGAGTCTTGTCTGGTTCTCCTATGTGTATAATTTAGAAATCAGAACATTGCTATTAAACAAGAGTTAGAAACAGTTTAGGACAAAGGACTTAGACAGCAATATTCTTCCCCAGACAATACCCGCTCCACTTTTCTTCTTATTGTTGTTTTGTGATTAGTTGGAATTAGTTGGAAGGGACCTGGAAAGTCATTATAACACATTTGTAAATATCAGGTTTGGTGTGGAGTAGTATTTGACTTCTGAGGTATGGATGATGATTTGTGACCAATTAAATATCTAAACTTTCTATACTTTAGACGTTGTCAACTAGCTGTAATTTTGCCCTCCCCTTCCCTCAACCCAGGACATCTGGCAATGCCTGGAGACATTTTCGTTTGTCATGACAGGGGAAGGGGGAATGGGAGTTACTGTTACTTCATCTAGTGCAAGGGTCCCCAACTCCCAGGCCGTGGACTGGTACTGGTCTATGGCCTGTTAGGAACTGGGCCATACAGCAGGAGGTAAGCGACTGGAGAGTGAGCACTACTGCCTGAACTCCACCTCCTGCAGATCAGCAGCGACTGATTATGTACCCTATTGTGAACTGTGCATGTGAGGGATCTAGGTTGCATGCTCCTTATGAGAATCTAACTAATGTCTCATCTGAGATGAAACAGTTTCATTCTGAAACCACCCCCCACCCCTGTCCTTGGAAAAATTGTCTTCCACAAAACTGATCCTTGGTGCCAAAATGGTTGGGGACCCCGACAACTTAGGTATGTAGAGGCCGATGACGCTGCTAAATATTCTACAGTGCATAGAAGTCCTCCACATCAAAAAATTATCCAGCCCAAATGCCAATGGTTCTGAGGTTGAGAAGCCCTGCTATAAACCAAACAGACTGTCATTCATTTTGTTTTTTTTTAATCCTGGTATTCTTTGTCACTGTGGATATGTTTCTTGGGCAATTGTTATACCCCATAAATAGTCTAAACTTGTTCTGAATATAACAGAATCATCTTTCGGCACCAGTTGTCTACTCAGTCTCCACAGGTTAGCATTCTCTGACTATGGCATGTGTGTTTGGGTGCATGCAGTTCATAGTAGCAGAATAGAATGAAACTGTAGACATTCACAGACCATCTAAAAGGATTAATACATGACCTTTCCTTTCAGGGTTTTTACCATCTGAGCTACTAAATAAAATAGGTGCTTTACCCAGAGATGCAAGCTTGAAACTACAATGTGACCTAATATGTTGTTTTTAATGCAGATTAGTTTCTTCAATGCCAAGGCAACAAAAACCTGGAGTGAAATCCTATTACTCTTGCAAGCTGATGTGCATATTCTCTTCTCATACACAAACAGCTTGGAGACTTGGACCTAATTTTATGGCATCTGTGTATGCTAGGGCCACTAATAACATAGACACTGACTGGCAAGAGTTGAATGAACTTTGTTAATCTGTTAACCAGCTGGGTTCACTTAGGCCTAGTTGACTTTTTTAGAGGAATTATTCTGTAATTGGAAATTTCTATGCCCCTTACATTTTAGATGATTGAGGGACTTGGTAGGTTTATTCTGCCTTTTGATCTTTAGGTGCTTTTTATGTATCTATTATATAGAATCACAGACTTGAAAAAGACTTGAGTGAGGTCAGCAAGCTACTGCATGCAGCCAAATCTGTCTTGCCACCTGCCTGTTTTTGTAAAATAATATTTTATTAGAACACAGAAATGCTCATTCATTTACGTATTATCTGTGGGTGCTTTTACATTAAAGTGGCAGAATTGAGTAGTTGGAACAGAGATTATATGTCATGCAAAGCCTAAAATACTTATTATCTCTCCTTGAGCAGAAAAAGTTCGTTGACCCCCACCTAATCCCACTTCCTCATTTTGCAGATGAGGAAACTGACTCTTAGAGGGACTGACTAGACCAAGGTCACACCACTAACAGAAAATCGAGGTTAAAGCATGATTAACACATGTTTTGAGAAATGAGGATGATGAATATCAGACCACTGACAAGCTATGTTCTAACAGCAAAATGAAGAGAAAAAAATATATTCTATAACTTGATTTACCAAAGACGAAAAAACAAAACAAAACTGGCTTGATGGATTTACTTCTTCCCTGAATAGATCAGTTGTCTTTATGTCATGCAGATAGAGCCGAAGCAGGACTTCAGTCAAATGACATCACAATTTTATGCAGCTAGGTGGCTGTTTTCCAAAGAATAGCAGAATATTTGTTGGTCAGCCTCCTGTGTCTCAGCATTATATTCCTCAAAAGTTGAATTATTGATGGTAAGTCAGAGAAGACACTTTGGTAATTGCTGAAATCTTGACTGTATTAAGACTGACTGTCCCTGTGTTCTGCTGTGGCACCAGCTGACAGTGATGAAATCTATAGAAGTAGGGCACATTTCCATAACATGAATATTCAGGGTTGGTGATGCAAGAATTATTATTAAACCACTGGGAAGGAACACATTCTCATTATTTGATTGAATACTAAATGCTGCCTTTTAAAAATAATTCAGTATGAATACTTTGATAATGAGGAAAGAGAGATGCTTGGAAAAAAAACTCATACTTTTTTTTTCTCTGGTACGTAAGAAGGAAATTAAATTAAGTTTAAAATATATAGCATGTCTACAGGAACTATTTTGGAACCATTAGCTATATTTCATCTAAACCTGTCTTACATATATCGAAGTATAATGTAATAGAAGCCTGAATAGAGTCTGATGTAAATGATTTATATAAAAATAAATTATGTAAAGAAGTATAAATAAAGACCCCTGAAAATAAATAAAATGCCTATTACAAATAATAACTTGAAAAAAACTTTAAAAAACCCAATATTTGTTAGACGTTAGATGTGTTTGCTACAGTTCTGAGTTGGATGTGTATGCTGCATTTCTGTAAATGACACAGTTTATATATTTCAAGGACCCCTGGCACCTCTAAGAACCCTGGGTATTCCTCAAAACTGAGTGTACTTCATATATGATGACAGTTCAGACAGCTGAAGTGCCATCATATATGAAGTACATCCAGTTCCTCATAGCCAAGATGTTATGCATAGGAAATAGAAAAGAAAGGAAAATGATTTGATTCATTCATCCATCAAACATGAATCAAGCCTCTGCTACATGCCAGACAGTGCACAAGGCTCTGGTCCTGCACAAATTAAATAAACAAGGTCCTTGTCCTCTAAAAACTGATGATCTAAAGGAGGGTGCAGGCAAGTAAACAGATTTTCAACAGAAAATGGTATGTATTCTGTAATAGAGGTAAGCTCAGATGCCATTGTGGAAAATTTCTCTTCCTTTTTGCTGGTTTCTCATCGTTCCTTCTAGCTCTTCTCCCCTAATCAGTTTAGGTGGGGTTGTCCCTTAGGCCCAGATTGGGTTTGTACCCTTTTGTTTCTCTTTCTACCTCCTCCTTCCTTGAGTGTGCTAACTCCACCCTTGATTTACTAACTGGGTTGTGCTTCCTTGTCTGCCCTCCTAAAGATGGCCATCCCTTGTTAGTGCCTTGAGTTTTCACTTCCTCCTTCTCCTCATTCTCTTCTCTCTTACAAAAATGAAGCCACTGAATGCCCAGTTACTGAGGTTCATGCTTTCACTAGTAAACCAAATACATATTGTGTTAATGCATCTACTAGGTGTTCCTATTTGTTATCACAACTATGCATAGGCATCTATGTAGCAATTTTACTTTAAATGAAAAGTCTTGCATACTACAAATCTTTTATTTGAAAAGGTAGAGGGGTACAAGGCTGAAATTTCAGACATTGTCCCTGGAAGCTCCCTCTGGTTGCACTATTTAGGTAAAAAACAAATGAACAAGAGACTAGGTGAGGCAAAGTCAGTGAGAGACTGGAACAGAAGTCACAGACAATTCTTTTTAGCACAACAGCCACTCATCCCATATTTATTCTTCCCATATTTCTTAAAAGGACATCTGCTCTGTGTGGCGCATGGCAGTGGGATGTATTGGGAAGAATCTGGATTTTGGAATCATACTGTGTTCAAATCAGAGACTCAGCTGTTGCAAAAATAAAAATGCATGTGCAAACACGTAACACACTGCTTGGCTTCAGATCTGTGATCAATACATGTGTTTCTTCATTATTTTCTTTCTTTCCTTCACTAAGAGAGATAATAAACAGTAATCATTTACACATATCTGAGAAAAGAAGCTTTGGAGAGAGAGCAACGAGTGTTTCTGGAACTGACCTCCACACAGAGTAAATTCAGAAATCAGCAGATCTACATTATTTATTCAAAGAGAGAACTGCATTGTAATCACTTTCCTGGATGCATGGGGTGAATGAGTGACAGCAAATACCTCAGTCATTGTGAGATGGCAACCTGAAGTAGGTGCATCTGAGAAAAAGGGCAGAGACCTCCCCAAAGGTCAAACAGAAGCAAGGCAGCAGGCAGCATTGCAGGGGAGGCAACTGCTGGGAAAGACACAGCAAGGAAGAGCTATTATGGGATGCCTCTCTGTGAGGTAGGGAGTGACTGTATATATGTTTTGAGACATCAGATCCTCCTCACCAAAGAGCCACTCTGGAAATTCTTGTTTTGACTTCATCCTTTAAGATTTTAAAAAGCAGTACCCTGAAGCTGTTTTCTTTGTTTTACTTTGCTTTAATGACTTAACAGCATTACAACATGGGTTTAAGTGCAAGAGAGTTTAGAAAACCTTTAGAAAAATAAGTCAAGCAAAGTTCAAAAGAAAACATGAATCTTATGCTAATTTTACCTGTAGGACTCAGGGCAGAAGTGGCCAAGCTTTTTGGCAGAAGGCACTGTTGAAAGGTATTGTGTGGTTGTGGCGGAGACAGTGGGAGGATGAAGTGAATCAGAAACTGTTGTTCTGTCTGGGATGAGGGGAAAATATCTGAAACTACTCCTTCATTGAGCAGAGGGCCAAGGATAGAACCCCAAAGAACCAAACTAAACTCAATCATAGCAAAACATCCTCTTTCTTTTTGTTTCTGCTGCTACACAGAAGAGATGAGGTGGGGATGGTCCATGAAGATGAATGACTGCTTCCTAAGACACTGTGGCGAGGAGGCTGTGGAAAGATGGCAGCAGCAGACTGTGGAGAGAAGTCAATTCACTGTGAGTGGTCAGACAATACCTGAACCAAGAAGACACATGGGACAACCTCTTGGGAACAGAAAGTTCAGAAAAGGGCTAAGAAATAGGATGGAGATAGGGATACTCAATGATCTAGTCATAAGGGATCAAAATGGGAATGCAATTAGGAAGTAGAAGGCCTGAGATAGACAGCAGCCACTGGGATTGGAAGCAATTTTAGGATGATTTCCCAAAGGGTAGAGATGTTCCAACAATAGCTTGATGATAAATTTTGTATTTTTTCAGGGCAGCTTGGCACTTCCCCAGGTAATCCATTCTCAGAGTTTCTGTTCAATCAAAAACTGTAGCTTCTTTGGTTTAGGAGTTTCCTGAGCCTGTCTCAGGGCAATAACGCCTTCTGGGTTAACTGGAGACTTCGTCAGAGACAGATGGGAGCTAACTCCAAAGAGTCATCATGATAACTGCGGTTGTTCAGATTCTTTATTTCTGGGCATCACATAGAATTTAGATTGGGACTCCTTTTCTATCTAACTGAGGGATGGGAATCATAATTGCATATTTAATTTTGTCATTAGAAATGATAATAAACTCATTGCCATTATACCACATGGTTTAAAAATAATCTGTTAGAGCATTTGTTTCTTGTTGTTCAATGTAACCAACCTTATTAAAGACCTTGTATCAACAGTGTTGTTTTGTTTTGTGGCATAATTAAAATCATATTTCTGACTTGTGTAACGTATAAACACATGCAAAGTTGTCATATTTTTTTATGAATACAGTGATAGAATATATGGGACTTTTGATAACTTACTGGTTTTTAAATGACAGAATTCATTTTTTTTTTGCATCCTGAATCAGAGTTGTGATTTGCTAAGTCTGGTATTAAAAAATAACTCATTTATCCAGAGCTGGAAGAGGTCAGTGAGACAGATAAGAACATTTCCTCAGTTTACATTCCAGGAGTGTGTCTACGTGCAAAGCCTATAGAGTTGGAGGAAGCATGGGGAAGCCCAGTAAGGAGAAGATAGACTAGGAGAGGGATGAAATGGGCTGCTGTCAAAGACCAAATGCATCTGTGACTTGTATTACTGAGGAAATGCAGTATTTCAGAACTCTTTTTAAGGAGAGGACTATCTGGATCCACCAGGGCTACCTTCTTCCTAAAGATCTGCTGTGTCCTGCTGCTGGGTGAATTGCCTTCTAGTGAATTGCCCACTCAGGTAGAGTTCAATACTCTACGAAGAAGAGTTGTCTTAATAGAAAGAATGACTGTTTGGAATGACTTTGAGTCTCATTGGAGAGTGAGATCATGTGCCATGCCCTTCAGCACATTCTTGCCAATTGGCAGTGGATGAAAATTGGACCAATCCTCTGACTGGTCCTTGAAATTTCACAGGACAGGCTCAGCGTCCCAGATGAATAGGATTATTGGCATCAGTGACTTCATTTTTACTTCTTATATTAGTTTACCAGGACTGCCATAACAAAATATTGTGACTGGGTGGCTCAATCAAGAAAAATTTATTTTCTCACAGTTCTGGAGGCTGGATGTCATCCAAGTTCAAGGTACCTGCAGGTTTGGTTTCTAGTGAGGCTTCTCTCCTTGGTCTGCAGATGGCTGCCTTCTTGCTATGTCCTCACACAGCCTTTTCTCTGTGTGCCAGCATCCCTGTGTCCCTTCCTTTTCTTTTAAGGAAACCAGTCCTCTTGGATTAGGGCCCTACCTGATGACCTTATTTATCCTTAATTACCTCTTTAAAGGCTTCATCTCTAAATACAGTTTCATTGGGAGTTAGGGCTTCAACATATAACTTTTGGAGGACACAATTCGGTCCAAAAAACTTCTCATACAGCTTCTGTTGGTAGGGAACATCAGTAGAAATGTAGCATGAGCAAAAAATAAACCTGATATTTTTGAGGCACTGAGATTTTAGGTTTGCTTGTTAATGTAGCACAACCCCGTCTACTCAGATTAATAATCATGGCTTGTATTTACTCTGAGTTGAACAGCAACATGTGGTCTTGTTTAACAAGACAGGTCTTTTGGTAGGTCCTGCACTCCTATGCACCTACATATAATCAGGTATACCACATCCCCTCAGAAAGGATGCTTGAGAATCCTTTCAGGTGAGAGGTGCCAAGTGAAATTGCATCAATGTTTAACTGTTATTTATTGAGAACCCATTGTGTCAGACTCTAGAGATACAGTGGTAAATAAGACAAAATCTCCACCGCATTCCTCATAGCTCAAAGGAAGAGAGATATTAAACAAATAAACATGCAGATTAGTGTTTACTTAATACAATTTAGGTAAGTGCTGACAAAATAGTATATTTTATTTTTTCTTGTCAATTTTAGCTTCAAAGAGGACTGTTTTCTCATAAATGAAGCCTGGTATATCTAGAAATTAGGTGCCAATACTCCATGGGCACAGGCAGAGACTGAAAGAGTAGTGTCCTAGGCAGGATGGCTGAAATTGTGTCAGCTCTTTGCAGTCTGGTTTGGGAGTAATCAGCATGTAGATGATAACTGAAGTTATAGGGATGGTTGAGATCACCCATGTTGGGTGAAAATAAGGTAGGGTGTGAAAAAAGGGAGACCACAGTATGAGCCTGAGAACATCAACATTTAAAGAACAGGTAGAGAATGAGTTTCATTCAAAGTGAGTGGAAACAGAGCCCCTTGGGAGTTAAGAAGAAAGTAAAAAAAAGTAGTACTACAGAAGCCAAGTGAAGATATCATTTTCAGGAGTAGGAGAGAGTGGACAAACCTGTCAAGGATTAAGCAACAGAACAAAAATGCACACATGGGATTTAACAAGGAAGGGGTTATTGATGACTTTAATGAAAGTGGTGAAGGTAGAAACAGACCCAGTGAGTTGAGGCATGAATGGGAGTTGAAGAAATACCTGTGGGGATGTCTACAGCTCTTCTAAAATATGTGGTTGTAGTTATTTTAAGAGTATAATTGGATTTTTTTTTTAACACAAAGAGGATAAATGCTTGAGGGGATGAATACTGCATTTACCCTGATGTGATTATTACCCCTTGTATGCCTGTATCAAAATATCTTACATACCTTATAAATATATACACCTACTATATACCCACAACAATTTAAAAATATTTTTTAATGTGTCTGTAGAGGAGAGGAGTAAAGCAGAGTCAGTTGGGAAGAAATGAAAATGAGAAAATTAAGGGTGAGTTTTTACATTTTAAGATAGGAGAAACAAATATGAATTCTGATGAGAAGGTGCAAGAGAACAGGAGTTGAAGATGAGGGAAAGAGGAGATAATTCATAGAAGTGGGTCCTGAGATAATAGGAACAGAGGAGGAAAAGGGAGTTTAGTCAGGAAGGACTTCTATTCTATTGTTGGAGTAGGGAAGGCTGAGCTGATGGCTGGGGAGGAAAATTTATAGATCTGTAGTGGGAAAGTGAAGACATTTACATCTGATGGTGTGGTGATCTTTGATGCTATTTACTAGCTCCTTCTGGTTTTTTCTTCAGGGCATTTTGGGATTGCACTTCCCTTCCTTCATGGAGTGGCTATGAGACTTACTTTGGTCATTCAAATGTGGGCAACATCTTCTAGGTTGAAGCCTTTAGAGCCACTGGGTGATTTGCCACACTCTCCTTTTTCCTTTGCTAAAATGATTAACAGTGTTCCAAATGGTGACTTCTTGATTAGCCAGGATCTTGAGTGCAAACAGTGCAGAGCAGACCCAGCTGATCCACAATGGACATGTAGCACGAGTGGAAAATAAACCTTGATTTTGTTTTTGAGCCACTGAGATTTTAGCATTGCTTGTTAATGCAGCATAACCTAGTCTATTCTAACCATAACTGTGGCTTGTGTTTTCTCTGACAAGTCAGAAAGGAAATCCTAAGCTGAACTCTAGAGTGAAATTATTATTTATTTTAAAGACAATCTAGCTTATCAATCACACTCACCAATTTTACACAATTGGTTGAAAACAGAAAAAAATGACTGACATGTTCATTTATGTCAGGATTTTAGTTTTTTTCCACGTATAAGCAGTAATGAATAACAGTAAAGAATACCTTTCTTAAAATATGCAGAATAGACACGCTGTGTTGAGCAGTTTTTAAAAAGTAAAGGATAAGCACATCATTGACAAAGAAAACCTTTCTTTCTAAAAATCAACTTTAAAATATTCCCTTTTTAACTTGCCATAGAATAAAAAGATAAGAGCATAAAATGGAGAAATACATAAAGTGAGGAAAGAGTGTGTGGGCTCCTGAAGACATCAAGAATTGCTCTTCTACCAAAATATCAAGGCAGAGTTGGGAATTTCAGAACACAGAGGAAGAAAGTAGAAGACTAGATTTTGATTCATGATAAAAATATGTGAAAGCTAGTGGTTTTACTAAATCTTTTAAACAGACAACTAGTGTCCATGTTAAAACAACTCCAATACATAGGGTCTGCAGCAGTTGTATCTCTCTCTCTCTCTCTCTCTTTCTTTCTCTCTCTCTCTCTCTCTCTCTCTATCAAAAACCTAGACAGTTCTGAATACAAACCTTATAACATGATTTGCTACGAGGCTGTTTGGGTTTTGTTTCACTTCAATTTAGCATTTAAAAAATTCCTGAGTGAAAGGCTTTTAGAGAAGAAGAAGGAACAATTCTTTCTCCTTAAGCACAATTTGTACTCAGAATCATGTTGGTATGTGTTTAGTTGCTCTGTTTTTTTTAAATGGAGAAAAAAAGAAATTTCTTATACTCTTTTAATTTTTACTTGAGATGAAATTCCAGGCAAATATGTTGCTACCCTCTAGGGCCTCAGTGCTGATTTGGGATGAATTTAGGTAGAATCAGAGGCCCTTACTGAAGCTGGAATTCATAACAAAATTCACAAAAAACAGGAGTACATAGGCAAGTAAGTTTATCTGAGAAGAAATATATTTTATTTTAATTAACTTGGAAATATCTTATGTATCTCCAAGAATTATGGAAAATGATGATGAACCTCAATATGGAAATGCCAGGGTGTTGGGCTTGTGTTTCAGCGAGGCCATTGGCATTTGCTCATCTAGCCTTTAGTGGAGCTTCAGAATATTAAAAATAGAAACAGGGTCGGGCAGGTTGGCTCACGACTGTAATACCAGCACTTTGGGAGGCCGAGGTGGGTGGATCACTTGAGGTCAGAAGTTCAAGACCAGCCTAGCCAGTATGGTGAAACCTTGTCTCTACTAAAAATACAAAAATTAGGCGGACGTGGTGGCACATGCCTGTAGTCCCAGCTCTTGTGAGGCTGAGCCAGGACAATGGCTTGAACTTGGGAGGCGGAGGTTGTAGTGAGCCGAGATCGTGCCATTGCACTCCAGCCTGGGCGACAGAGTGAGACACTTTGTCTCAAAAAAAAAAAAAAAAAAAAAAGAAACACACACAAAATAAATGAATCAGCAAGCAACAGAAAACTCCGCTCAAACTATCTTAAACAATGTGGAAAGTTGTTGGCACCCCTTATCTGTAGGTCTAGAGGTACTATGGACTGGATAATTGCTCCACTTTGCTTTTCCCCATACATTTGGTTCACCTTCAGGTTGTGAGCAAGATGATAGCCTCATTTCTCACCATTATGATCACCCAGGAAAACATCCCAAGGAAGAGGATATACTGCTGTACCTTGGTCATGTGACACCCTGAATCAGTAATCGAAGCTAGGAAAGTGGAATGTTCTGTGTGGTTTGAGCCATACAGAGCAACTCCATGACTGAGGCATTTAAGATCTTTGTGGAAGGACTACCTGACAGAAAGGAGGAAGGAGTGTACGGAGATTGGTTGCAGTCAGGTAACAACAGTATCTGTAACACTGGTTTGTATAATTAATGTAGCCTCAGTTACTTTCTCTGCCCATTGTAAATTTTGCTACAGGGAATTTAAAGTGTTATTTTAGCAGCTGAATTCTGTTAGAAAGCCAAGTCAGTGACATAACTGAGGTCTCTCAGAGAGACTAATATATAGGAGTATAAATGTGCTTAATTTTATTACTAAGGGGCACATTCCTCATTCCTCCCTTCTGTAAAGAAAGTTATAAAGCACTCAAAGTTATTTGCTGCAAAGGGGACTTTTATAAGTAGTTAGTAACATTTCATTTCAGAGTCTGCACTGCAGGGCATTTGGTTATAAGGAGATCTTCACATTAATCCAAAACTCTTTCTTGGCTTTCTAATTCTGTCATTAAAAGCATCTCTTCATGGGTCCATTTACCTCCATTGATAGTGATCTTGCTCCATGCATCTGTGGACCTACTGGTGTCTCACTGTGGAAAGGAAAGGCTATGGAGAATGCAGTGCTACCCCTCTTTCCCTTTTGTAACCATTCCCATATGCACACAATGCTTTTTCTTATTGGGAATGAATGAATTAAAAGCATCACAAGCCCAGTGGGATCTATTTTATTTGAGGCATAGCTATGTTGCCTTGTCCTTTTTCTATTGTTTTCACTAAGGCCACCCTTTTTACACCCACCAAGACGTGACATTTATATACTTCACCTGGAATATAATGTCCCTGGCATGTATGAGAAGTCCATATGGATCACACACATCTTGATCATTGCTTCACATCTTCTCGGTCTTACCTCGGATTCCAGCCATGGTCATGGAGAACAATTCTGCACAGATGTCCATCTTTATCTTGCCAGAGCCTCTTTACTAGCATGAATTTTGCATCTCTTGCTTTCTGCTTTGGAGTTTCTGAGTCCATGGTGCAGACACCTGGGGATCCACTTGTCATTCATTCATGTGGGGGAAGAATTAATGCCCCTAGTAAGCAGTTTTAGGATTCACTCTAAACAACTCCTTAAAGGTTCTGTCAGAATTGGGCATCAGTTCCTGTAGTATTGGTGATATAGTTTGGATGTTTGTCCCCTCTAAATATCATGTTGAAATGTGATCACCGGTGTTTGAGTTGGGGTCTAGTGGGAGGTGTGTGGTCTTGGGTGCAGATCCCTCATGAATAGTTTGGTTCTCTCCTCATGATAATAGATGAATTCTTACTCGTAATGGAGTGAGTTCACGTGACAGCTCGTTGTTAAAAGAGCCTGGAACTTCCTCCCTCTTTCTCTTGCTCTGTCTCTTGCCATGTGACACACCTGCTTCCCCTTCAGCTTCTGCCATGAATAAAAGCTTCCTGAGACCCTCATCAGAAGCAGATGCTGGTGCTGTGCTTTTTGTACAGCCTGCAGAACTGTGAGCCAGAAATAAATCTCTTTTCTTTATAAATGACCGAGTCTCAAGTATTCTTTTATAGCAATGCAAAACAGACTAATATAGCTGGCCAACTCAATAAAACATTTTTAAAAAATAGATTAAAAATTGGGGCATAACTTATAGAAAATCTTATATGTCTTAAATATACAGCTTTATGAATTTTTACATATATATACATCCATCCATGTAGCCACCACCAAGATCAAGGTATACACTATTTTGAGCACCTCACAAGTCTACCTTGTGCCCTCTTTGTTTTTGAATTTTATGTATACTATTTTGGGCCTCATTTCCTGCATTTAATATTATTCTGGAGGGTTCACTTATATTGTTGCAAGTGTTAGTGGCTGTTTTTTTTCACCGTTGTGTAGTATTCTAAATTTAACCACCCGTGAATCATTCTTATATTGGTTTTCCCTTCTTTCCCATTTTAATCTCTCTGGATCTTCATTCCATTTCATTGGAATTATATTCCAAATACACTACCTGCAACCATTTCTCCTGCTTTCCCCACATCCCTCTTCCAGGTCCCTAGTGCTCCAGGTTTATTGTTGAGAGTTAGGAGATAGTCATTCTCTCATTTAGCTTGGCTCTTTACTTGATATTTGACCCTAAAAAAGCCATTTACTCACTGAAGGATTCAAGTTTCCTCAGCCATAATATATGAAGATCTTTGAGATGCATTCTAGTCTCAAATTTCTGAAATTCAGATCTGAAATTTGTAAGGGTTATTATTTTTTTATTATTTTTTTTTTAGGGGGAAGATGATACTCAACAAACTGAAATAAATGGTGGAATTTCATGCACAAGAAACCATAGGTGAGGGGTAATGTTTTTATATAGATATGTTCTTGGTGCTCTAAAATCTCACCATCTTAGTGGTTGTCGACCTTGTGCCTTCTCCTGAGTTGAGGCAGACTCATCTTCTGCAGAGCAGTCACTGGATGGAGGTCAGCACTTCAGAGTGAGGGGCAGCTTGGAAGGAGGCAAGGATCCTGGAGTGGAAGAGCAGTGAATAAGCTATAGGAAATGAAACTGTTTTATTTCATAGCCACTCTTTTCTCAGGACAACTGAAACTATGAACCATTTCTGAGATGATTTCTGTGGCAAAAACGTATCTGAAATAAGACATACATTTTATGATGGTGGCTTGTAATAAAATTCACCTGAGATTGTGGGAGAAAGAAACTTTGATGCGTGATCACACCTTCCCACACATTCTACGATATTTATTTCACATTAGATCAGCTAAACCTTTTCTAAGTAACTACCATAAATTGCACAGCCATTATGGTAATTGATTTCATATTTCACTTGTGGATGTCACCAGGTTTGCCCTTACTCCGTGACATTGCTTCCATGGTAACTAATGCATTTTAAATGATAAGAAACATGAAGAATAGAAAAGATCAATTACTAATATATAATGCCAATTAACATATAAATGTTTGAGGTTTATACCTCAAACATTTGAAAAAAGGTGAAGCACAATTTTTCAAAAGTAAAAAATAGTCTAACAATCATGGTTAGATATTGGTGAATGGTGCATATACTGGTGTTAAATAAATCTGCACTGTGGTGCACATATCATTTGGCCATGCCAAACTTTAGGCCTTTATGTAAATGAACAAATGTGAAAGAGTTAATCATGAAATCATCCTTACTAAATTATGTATTATAGTACCTAGATCCCTCCTGCCCCTCTTCTCTAATCTTTCTGTCATTTCATTCTTTATTGGCATTTTTTTTGTCATAAGGGAAGGAAGAGAAGGTAATATTAAAATGATTATATTTTGCTTCTCAACAGCTCTGTCTTTGAGAACACATTAATTACTTCATTCATTTGTTGAGCATATTCCAAAAACTAATGCTCTTTGCTGTTCCTCAATCAGGCAAAGCACTTTCCTGCTTAAGAACTTGTGGGCTCAATGTTCCTTTTGTCTGGAAAGCTCTCCCCCAGATAGCTTTATGTATTACTCATAATTTCTTTAATGTCTTTGCTCAAATGTCACCTTCTTAGAGAGATCTTCTCTGCCAGCCTTTATAAACAGTAACCCTTACTCCCAACCTGCACACCCTCTGCCCTAACTACTTTATACTCTGCATTTCTTATCACCATCTAACAAAGCACACATTCATGAATTAATTAATTCACTCATTCATTCCACATCTTCCCACTAAAATAAGACCAATGAGGCTTATGTACAGAGAATTTGCCTGCTGTCTTCTCACTGGTATGTTTTGTTTTTAGAATAATAGTACCTGGAATTTAATAGGAGTGCGATAACTATGTTTTGAATGACTAAATGAATTTAAGAGTGAACAAGATAGACTCTGTTCCTACCTTCAGGGATCTTATATTCCGGGGATTGATAGTTAATAGCAAGCTTCTGAACAAAAAATTATAATAAAAATTATATTTAACAAAATTATAATGAAAAGTATATACCATAGTCACTTAATCCAATCTGCTGGGTGTCAGAGAAGATTTGTTGGGAGATTGGCATTAAGCTGAGGCCAGAGGAAGAGTAAGAACAGTAACAGAGTGCTCCAGGAAATGGAATAAACTGGTCAGATTGGACGGACCAAGAGGCAAATTGCTATGCTATTCTGTTTAGAGCAGAATATAATTTCTGCTGTATTTTATGTGACTAGTTCAGTGTTTAAAAAACTAAATCTGCATGTTCTTAGGTGAAGTGTGCCCTCTCCAGTTACTTCCACGTTTCCCCACTGCTGATTATATTATACTCCACAGGATCTACATATTAAATTTACCTTCCTGGCTTTCTGGACCCTATTGGTGTGTGAATGAGCAACCTCTGGTTTAGAGTATTCCAAGGAGTCAGAGATTTCCTGGAATTTTCCCTTTGGGAAGGGTGTATGCTCAGGCTGGTGTCCTGGAAGCCTTAGTGTGGATCAATATAATTGATCTACTACTATTATTTTATGGTTTCAAGATATATCAGATAAGGAGTTTTATATAATTCAGAGTAATTTTGTTTTTCAGTGAATGCTGTATTTGTAGGAGGTGGAAATATGCATCAAAATGACAAAACCATACTCTTCAGAAAATGTGACATTTTAAATGATCATATGTGCAAAGGGATTATATTTTCTTCCCTGTTAATTTCTGGGTGTGGAGAATGCAGAGGTGGGGATGAGCAAGGCTTGTGATATACCTCATACCAACACTCTATGCTCACCTTCATCAGACCCTGGCCTTGCAATTCCCAATCACACATACTTCTGGTTTGTGGGTAGTTGGGCAACATGGTCTAGAAGTCAGGACTGGAGTACAGACCCTGGAGCCAGACTCCTGGGACTTGAAGTCTGGCTTCTCCAGTTACCAGCTGTATAACTATGGGAAGTTACTAAACTTCTCTATGCTTTATTTCCCTCCTCTATAAAATGGGACTATAATAGTGCCTCCTCTGTGGTTTGTTATGAGGATTAAATATAAGTTAATTTATGTAAAGCACTTAGAACAGTGTTCGTTATTCAGCAATTTCACAATAAATTTTAAGCACAGTCACTATTATAATTATTATAGAATATCCAATAAAATCCTGGAAGACAAGAAACTTTTCTGGACAAAAGATATATGGTACTGATTGTTCATTTTCCTCTCAGGAAGAAGATAAATATAGAACAATAATCTAATGACTGACAAATAAAAACATTATTAAAGCTGATGTCATTTAACTTAATAAAATGGCTGTCAATTTATGAAATCTGATAGAGAAAACATGTGACATTTTTCAATATGCTAATGGAAAAATTTTTGCGAAATTTGTCTGTCTTAAGATTTTACAAGTAACTTCTTTTAGACAAAAATATCTAGCAGCCCAAAAATACTTCACAGAAGCAATTTGGTTATAACCTTAAATGGAGAATCCTGAAGTTAAATAATGTATCTGTGTACAAAGTTCTCAAATACGCTTCATAAAGATTGGGTTGCTGGAGTCTTGACTGTTCTACTTACTGAGTTCTGGTAGCATCGAATTGTGTGATGGGGCTCCTTGGCTGTGGCTTATCCTTCTTAGCATATAGCATTTCACCCCACACACAACATAAGCAGTGTTCACTGGTATACACTCTCTGCTTCAGGTCTCAAACTATGGGATTTTAGAACAAAGCCTTCATGTATATGTGTCAATGCAGACATGGAACCTAAAGATTATGGCTACTATTTTTTAGACTGTGGTATTAGTTTGATATCTAGAAAATGCCAAGTCAGGATTTGAATTTTAAATCCAGGCTCTAAAATGTTTCTTTTTTCAGAACTGCTGATAAAGGAGGAGAAAAGAGTAGTTAAAACATTTAAAAAGTGAAATTAATATGCATTTGTAAAAAATCAAACGATACAAACATGAGCTGTTCCTCCACTCTGACCCCAGTCTCACTCTTCAGAAGGAACCTATGTTAATGATCATAAATATCCTTCTAGACTTTTTCTAAGCATAAACAAACACATGCACATACATGCTTGTTGGTTTCTATTTATCACAAAAATGAAATTATACTGTACACTTACAACTTGTTTTCCATTTACTTAAAGCTACATGCTGGATAACATTCCATGTCAGTACACATAGTTTAACCTCATTCCTTTTAATTGCTACTTAGTATTATATGATTTGTGCAGTAATTTATTCAGTCATCTCCCTTTTTGTAAATCACAATTCAGATTATTTCCAATTTTGCTATTAGAAACAAGGCTCAAATGAACATTCTTATCTGAGAGCTGGTGTAAATATTTCTATAGGGTAGATTTCTAGAGTTGAATTACTGGGTACATGACATACAAATTTAAAATTTTGAGACATATCACTCAAATCTCTTCCTAAAACATTATCTTGATTGTTTGTTTCTACTATCATATATGAAATTCTGTTCTTGCCACATTTTTATCATCTGGACATTATCAATCTTGAAAACTGTTTTCAGAACAGGTGACCCATGGCATGTTACTGTTTTAAAGTTACATCTATTTTACTAGTAATGAGGTGAACCTTTTTTCTTTTGTGAGTTGTTGGTTTATATCTTTCCTTCACATTTCTTTTTACCTTTTCTTATAGTAATCCAAAAGCATCTTACACATTTATATTTATCAGTTAAGCATGCAAGTCTTTTTTCGTAATACGTCAGTTGAAGAATAATTTCACTTGTTACGGTTTTCTGAGTCCATTGTCTCATGAGTATGTTACTAAGTAGTAAAATAACAAAACTGAGCAGCAGGGCTAAGAAGGAGGAGAAATACACAATATAGATAACCCATATGTTGCACAACAAATTTTAAATAGACACAAGTTGATTGTGTCTATTTAACACCAATTAGCTGGTCAGCTTAACTAATTTAGTAAAATATGAGATAATAATCACAAGGTATAATTTTTTACTTAACTGGAATGAGAACTCTTTAGGTTAGGGGCAGTCCCTTCTCCTTTTTGTATTATTAGTGACTAGCAAAGTAGTTGTGAAATTTGTTGAATAAAAAGAAAACCAGGCAAATCAATGGACTTTTGTTAAAAAAATAGCAACTCGTTCTTTTAATTATTTTTGAACATCAGTGGCTGATATCATACTCATGCAACAAATATGGTATTTTAGGCCTATAGTAATTCTTAGGTAGATGCATTTTTGCTGTTTTTGCCAGTTTTAATGAAGATATTTGTGACATAACTTTGTAAATTATCTAAGTATAACTGACTACTTTTTTACCAGCATCTCACATTAATATTTAGAATTGTCATTTAAAAATCATTATATTTTAAGTGCAAACATTCACATGGAATTTGAGGTAACTTCTTACCAAATGGACAGAGCTCTCTTATTGACCTATTTTCTTCCTCTTGAGAAATCCTTGAGAAATGATCATTCAATTGCCTAAGGAATGTCGTGAAGGCATTACCACACTAGAGAAAGCCCCATTTTCCTTAAAAAGTGGGCAGTTTTGTTATTCCAGGGTTCACTTTCAGTTCCTTTCACCTCATGACTCACGACATGTCCTCAAGTCCTCAAAGGATGTTAGTGACTATCCTTGAACCTCAAATTTATAGACTGGCTTCTCTTTTTAATTTTTTTAGAAAGGGCACTAGAAAAAGCCTATAGTAAGCTAGTTTAATTGTTGAAAATTTGGAAAAATTGTTGGATTCACATTAACCGCTTCAAAAGTAAAGTCAGCTAGACACAACTATGCTATTATCCCCGTGATATTGAGCTTAGCTCATAAATGCCTGAAAGTGAATTAATTTATTCTGTTCCTTTGAAAACATCTACTGAGCATCTACTATATGCCAGGTGGTGGGCTAGATCCTAGAGATTAAAGATAATTAAGGCTTAACCCTGCTATCCAGGGTCTCCCAGTCTAAAGTAATCATTGCTTTACATTTTTCATTAATGGCAAACAACATTTTCAAGCCAATTGCAAGAATAAACACAGATTCAGCTTAGGACATCGCCAGTTTTTGCACGTTCACTGCAACAGGACAGTGCTGTATGGAAAGAACAAAAATCTGAAATTAGATTGAATTTTAGAAATCTGAAATTAGATTGGAGCAGGTGCTGGGAAGAAATCCAGCATAGGAGGCTGAATTGATATCTAGAATCTCTGTCAATACGTAGGCAAACAGTCCTCTCTGGAGGCTTCAAAACAGTAATTAGTGAGAATATGCAATAAGAGAGAATTCAGCATCAATAATCTCAGATGTCAAGGCAGGCAGGCAGTTGGTATCTAAGGAGTTTGCCAGTAAATCTTCAAGTATGCAAGGCATGGCTTCAGAGCTGGATTTTGGGGGAAACTTAAATGCGGGTATGGTGGAAAGGGGAAAGAATGGAAAGTGTGTAGCAGGTTTCTAGTTCTAAGAATATTATTAAAGTAGCTATTTAGTCATAGAACAAGGCAGAAATCTGGTTAAGCAAACTGGAGCATACAGACCTCTAGGGGGAGCCCAAGGCTCTTTTCTATTCTTGCACCCTCCACATCCCCCTGCACTCCCCACTCCCATACCCAGGTACAGGTTTCACCGTAAGAAGGAATGTTGTCAGGGATAGATACAATTCGAAGGCCCTCTTTCCATCATAGTGCAAGAAGGTAGAACTTTCAAAAAAAATTTTTTTTTTAAAAGAACACAGATGGGCATGAATTACCTTGTTTCTTCCTTCCAGAATGATAAGACGTGGGCTCCTTTAAAGTAGCTATAGCCATTTTTTCTCTCTTCAGAGGCTTTTATCCTTCCATGGTCCTGGACCTAACCCTATTCTAGTTCCCCTCTTCCACCGCTGCCCCAATCAGCCATGGGAGGCACAGGGGGAATGTCTCTGCCCTGCTCCTTTTCATCTCCATTTGAGGTGTGTGGCCTCTGAGCACCTTAGGAGCTTCATCTCATAAGATGCTTTACTCTCTTTTCCTAAAGGACATAGCCTGGAGAGAATTCTGGCCAATGATGATATTCAGGTGTTTCTGAGTCCTTAATTCTATGTCATCATATTTCCACTCTTTAAAAGCATCCCTGCAATTTCTAACAGAACACAAGATGAGAATTGGGCCTTGGAAACAAGCAGAAGCTCAGTTACTAAGGCTGGTAAAAAAAGGCCAGGATCAGAGAGTGGCTTGATGCTTTATATACATTATCACTAATCATCACAATTCTGTAAGAGGATTTTGTGTGTGTGTGTGTGTGTGTGTGTGTGACAGGGTCTCACTCTGTTGCCCAGTTTAGAGTGCAGTGGTGTAATCAAGGCTTATTGCAGCCATGACCTCCCAGGGTCCAGTAATCCTCCCACCTCAGCCTCCTGAGCAGATGAGACCAAAGGTATGTTCCAACATGCCCAGTTAATTTTTTAAATCTTTGTAGAGATGGGGGTCTTACTGTGTTGCCCAGGCTGGTCTTGAACTCCTGAGCTCCAGCACCTTGGCCTGTCTTGGCGTCCCAAAGTGTTACGATTACAGGCATGAGCCACTGTGCCTGGCCAAGAGGAATGTTTTTACCTTACTTTACAGATGACAAAAGTAGGTTCACCTTACGGAACCTACGAAAGGTGCATGAAATTATGAATGGTAAAACAAGAATTTAGGCTTTAGTTTGATAATAAAGCCCATCCTCATTCTACCATTCCAGTGGACCTACTTTTGTCAAGATCACCAACAGCTTCTATGTTGCCAAATCTAATGGACCTGACTCTATCCGCATTTTGTTGGACTTGTCAGAAGCATTGAACAATTTATCACTTCCTTAAAATACTCTCTGCTATTAGCTTTTCTGACATCACACTCTTCCGCTTTTTCTCCTGTTTGCAGAGCTTTCCTTCTATCTTTGCAGTTTCTTCTTTTTTATCTGACTTCTAAATAAAAAATGCTTCAGGGCTAGGTTTTCTTTTCTAAACACTCTCCATAGGTGATCTCATCTAGTTAGATGGTTTAAATAGTATCTGATTACTTAGTATCTCTTCAGCCTAATATTTTCCCTAGCTTATGCTACTCCAGCCACCCTAGCTACCTCGCTGATATTTAAACATGCTAAGCATGCCTCTGCCACAGGGCCTTTGAATTTACTGTTCTTTCTGTTTGTGACACTTTCACTCATCAGATATGTGCACAGCTTGCATGTTCACTTCTTTCATCTTTGTGCTCAAATATCACCTCCTCAGAGGGACCATCCCTGGCTACGCTGTATTACACAGCACTCACTCCAACTCCAGGCACTCCTACTTTCCTTACACTGTGTTTGTTTTCATCAAAACCTTTATTACCATCCGATGCATTGTGAGCACATAGCAGGTGCTCGATAAATATATTTTGGATTAAAAAGTTTATTAATTAAGAACTCACAAATATCTATTTACAACTGAGGCTGCTCTCCTGGGCCACAAGTCCTAGAAGCCATGGGGTGTAGAAGTTAAGATGATGGGCTCAAGGGCCTGACTGAGTGGACTTGGTTCCCAGCTCTACCATTTACTACTTGTTTGGTCCAGTTACTTACTCTCTTTGTGCCTAAATTTCCCCTGTAATACAATAGAAATACTAGTAATTGTACTTAATAATACTAAAAGTACTTATTTCATAAGCTGTTTTGAGGGTAAATGACTTAATACATGCCAAGAACTTCAGACAGTATCTCATATATAGTAAAAGTGCCCAATAATTCTTAGTTCTTCTTCCTCCTCTTCTTCTCCTCGTCCTTCTTCTCCTTCTCCTTCTCCTTCTTCTCCTTCTTCTATTTCCTAGTTACCTACTTG
Organism: Homo sapiens; assembly: GCF_000001405.40. Lineage (NCBI taxonomy): Eukaryota > Metazoa > Chordata > Mammalia > Primates > Hominidae > Homo > Homo sapiens. Next base: position 113,162,234 of record NC_000007.14, read on the forward strand.
ATCTACTGGGTTGTCAAACAGGCATCTCAAGCTTAGTGTGTCCAAAGCAGAACCTTGATTGTTTTCCCAGACTTGTCTTCCCTCCAGAAATCACCATCTCAGTAAATGGCACCACATGTTGCTCACAAAATAAAGAGGGATCATCTTCAGTTTCTCTCTTTTCTGTATCTACCTCATCCAATCCACAAGCAAGTTTGTGAAGATTCTACTTGCAAAATATATCCATAGCTCTGCAATTCCACTGCTGTTACTCTAATCTAAGACACCATGATCTCTTTCTTTCACTATACTAATACCTTTAAACTTGTTCATTTTCTCCTCTTGCTCCCTTCAAATTCATTATCATACTAAAGCCACAGCAATTTTTAAAGAAGACTCCCCTAATCATAGCCTTCAGTGACTTTTCCTTGAATGTAGAATAAAATCCAAACTCCTTACTATGACCTACAAGGGCCTGCACAATCTCAAAACTACCTCCCTTTCCAGTCTCATCTTGTTCCACTTGCATTTTTGTCTGCGATACGTCAGCCACACTGGCTCACACTGGCTACCTTTTTTCTTCAATGAAACTGTTTTCTACACTTTACTATTTCAGAGCTTTTGCAGGAATTATTCCTTCTACCTGGAATGCTATTCCCTGAGCTCTTGGAATAGTTGGTTTCTTTCCATTCTCCATGTCTGAGCTCAAAGGTCACATGTGCGGAGAGGCTTCCTATAACACCCTTGCTAAAATTTGGAGATGATATGTGCAATAATTCTATGATATTTAAATTTGAATAGTTTGCTTTAATGAAACAATTCTTTTTTGAGTTGTCTGATAAGATTTATTTTTACTTATTTTTATTAATTTAAATATTTGTACATATTTATGGAATACATGTGATATTTTGTGACATGCATAGACTGTGTAATGACAAATCAGGGGATCTGAGTGGTCCATCACCTTGAGCACTTATCATTTCTATAATCTGGGAACATTTCAAACCCCCTTTTTAAGGTATTTTGAAATATACAATACATTGTCATTAACTATAGTAAACCTACTCTGCTACTGAACATTAGAACTTACTCTTTCTAACTGTGTGTTTGTACATTCGTACCAATCTCTTTTTAGATTCCCTACTTCCCAGTCTCTGGTAACCATCATTCTACTCTCTACCTCCATGAGATCAACTTTTTTAACTCTCATATACCAGTGAGAACATGTGATATTTGTCTTCCTCTGCCTGGCTTAAGTGAAACAATCATTCTTATTAGTGACTTTCAACCTTTATTTGTTTGCTCTGGACAACTTTTAAATTAATAAACTGTTGAATTGAACCCCATTATGTAAAGATGCTAAAGTCAGGACATCTTTGCTTGTTGTAGAACAGGGTGAGGAGTAATGAACCAGATTCTGATCTTCTCATCCTTTTAGTAGTTCCCTAGAGTGATACTGACTTCAGAGCCCAATTAGTGAACCAACAGTTTGCATAATCTATACATAGATTAAGTGAATTTTGAATTAGAAAGATGGACATGGCTACATCCACATAAAACCAAAATATCTGGTCAATTTCATAAAGTATCTAGGTAAACATTCTTATTGCATTTTCTTGTGATTTTATTCTCACACATTTATTCCTACAACTACATTTTTTCCCCTTGAAATCAGTAAATGGATATCTTGGGGTTCCTAGCATCTAGAATCCAGACTTGCACACATAAGAGACACAGTAATGCTTTTTGACTAAATTAAATGCATAGATAAAGGCATAGAAAGGTTAAAATTTGGCTTTATGATATTTTGTAGCCTTTAAAAAAGTTCTATGTCGTAACCTCATTTCACATTTTGTGACAGTGATCCCTCCAAGCATGACATACTTATGGCATGCCTACTGAGTACCAGGTAATGCTGGGTGCTTTCCTGTGTCATGAATGTTTTCCATAATGCTCACACAAACCATTGAAGCTGCGTGTTGTCCACACTTTCACATATGAAGAACGTTAGTGTACTTCATATAGGTTAATTGATTAATGCCTTGTTAAATGGAAAGGAGAGGATTAAAAACATGATCTTTTTGACCTCAAAGTTCATTTTTTTCTTTTATTATATTATGAAAAATACAAAGCCTAATTCCCTGATCAGTACAGAAGAATCCTGAAAGAATTATGTTAGCTTTGGAAGTCAATATTTTAAAGATGTAATTAATTAAAAAGGGTGCAGATAGTGTTAAAGGGTAAGCTGATGCTATTTGACTTCTTCAAAGATTGTATTAGAAGTTGATAATATGAATTATGTGTAATTAATAAAGTGACATTAACTTTTATTTTACTGAAATTTGGGCTTTGTTAAAGCTTGAAAGAGAACCCTCCTTCAACACTTTCATTCCACAAATGTTGGCATTAAAAAGCGTCGGCATTCACTAGGAAGTCAGGAAGCCTAGGCCCTCTGAAATTGGATATTATCTATTTTTGTATTGCAAAAATAATTAGTAATATTTAATTATTTTATTTATCACATTAATGATAGCACTGATGGGAGACTCTACTAAGCCATAACCAGAATGAGGTGTATTTTGGAAGATTTATAAAAACCAAATAACTACCTCTATTTTCTAGTATCATGCCCAGCATCCATTCACCTAGTTAGCAGTAAGTGTGAGGTGAGAAAAACAAATTTATATTTCTGTAAAGTAGTTGTCAAACAGACATTCAATCACTGGGAGAATGTTAAAATGATGGCAGTTCAAAAACAAGAATATAACGCAGAAAACTATTTTGATAAAAGACAACTTTATCAATTTAGGCAGAGGTAGATTATCACTAAACTTTTTCTATGTATGATTTAAAATCACACTAGGAATGTTGCATTAATATTTATTAAAATAATGCTGGAAACATAAAATAATCATAGAACATAGTAATTCAAAGAATTGAAGGACCCTAAAGAAAGAAATATGAATTAAATTCTGTTACTCTTTCAACAGGTATAGCTTAGTACTATCTATCTAGATCTGTATCATCTGTATCTATAAAAAGGTTTACTATAATTTCTAAGGAAATTAAACTGTGGTCCACGTGGTCCCTGTCAATGTAGGAATTAACACCTATTTTTGGAGTCATGACACAATTATACCTGCTTGTTATGAACCCTAGAGGTAGATAGAAGTTTTAACCTTTTTTCTCTATTAATAAGTGAGAAAATAGAAGAAATATTTAATCAACTATAAATTAAACAGTCTATAATTTACAATGAAATTAACAATAAAATTAAGAGAGATAAAAGTTATAAAGAAAAAACATAAAGAGAAAAAAATGTTGATTCTAAGAGGAGGCTTAGTGAACCCACAGTGAGGCTGAATTGCGGGAGGGAGCAAGGCAAGGGGGCATTGAGTGCAGTTTTCATTTTATTTTATATATTATGAGTGCATTTATTTTACAGCCCCTAATATTTTTAATGTGCTTTGTAATGCACAAAACATATTTATATAGAAGAGAATATGTTTAATTATTAATTGATTCATTCAACAAATATTAAAGGACTACTTTGGGCTAGATATAGTCCTCCATACTGATGGTACAGTGGAGAACAAGATAGGAAAAATCTCTGCCCTCATGGAGCTTGCAGTCTAGTTGGCATACCAGTCAATAAATAAATATATTGCATAAGGATAAACAGTAACATGTGCTGTAAAAAAGAAAGCAAGAGACAGAAAATGTTGGTAAAGGGGCTTATTTATATTGGCTGAATGGGGAAAGCCTCTTTGAGGAGGTCATAGCGGAACCGAGACCTAAAGAGTAACCCAGGGAGCTTAACTTTTTAAAAAAATTATACTTTAAATTCCGGGGTACATGTGCAGAACATGCAGGTTTGTTACATAGGTATACATGTGCCAGGATGGTTTGCTGCACCCATTAACCTGTGATCTACATTAGGTATTTCTCCCAGTGCTAACCCTCCTTAGCCCCCCAACCCCTGACAGGCCCTGGTGTGTGATGTTCCCCTCCTTATGTCTATGTATTCTCTTTGTTCAGCTCCCACTTATGAGTGAGAACATGAGGTGTTTGGTTTTCTGTTCTTGTGTTAGCTTGCTGAGTATGATGGTTTCCAGCTTCATCCATGTCCCTGCAAAGGACATGAACTCATCCTTTTTTATGGCTGCATAGTATTCCAGGGTATATATGTGCCACATTTTTTTTTTTATCCAGTCTATCATTGATGGGCATTTGGGTTGGTTCCAAGTCTTTGCTATTGTGAACAGTGCCACAATAAACATACGTGTGCATGTGTCTTTATAGTAGAATGATTTATATTCCTTTGGGTATATACCCAGTAATGGGATTGCTGGGTCAAATGATATTTCTAGTTCTAGATACTTGAGGAATCACCTCACTGTCTTCCACAATGGTTTAACTACACTCCCGAGTAACTTGTTATGATGTCTTTAGATCAAAAGAAATACCTAGCAGTTCAAAACTTCTCAAACCTGGGCTCAGATTGTACATCACCACCCTCATTACTTCAACCTTATTGATTTTGTGCAATGCTTGGTCTTTAACAAAACAACTACTGAAAAAACAGCTTCTCAAAGGTATATCATCATTGAAAGGAATGTTTTGGCATCTCATGTGGAAATTGTGAATGACCTTGAGCTAACAGTTTTTGCAATGTCCTACAGATGTTGAGTATTGCTATATTTCCTTCAAAAATCTAAAATATACTGCACACCCTAGTGAGTTTATTATAGCATCGTTTCACACAGTTTTGGAAACAGCATCCTTTCACACAGTTTTGGAAAACCCATCTCTAAGTGTAATTTTATTTTCTTTGCTACTGACTGGTTTAGGGGTAGACGTGTGGTCTAATTTTGGCAATTATGGCAGGAAGAATGTTTTAAATGTAGATTTTGTTATTATTTAGGTATGGTGAGATAAGCAGGTTAGGAGACAACTGTCATCGAAAAGACAGTTCGTTATACTCACAGATCCCAAGAGAAGGGGCATGCCACCGCATGGAGGCTACATGAGGAAGGACTGATGTTGGTCAAGAGGCAGAAGGAGCTCTTGCCCAAAGGTGGGCAAGATCCTATATTGTGCGTTCTATGGGACATACCAGGTAAGGCAAGGTAAGCAGGTTAAGGATTGGCTAGTTTTGATAACTTCAACAGGCTGTGGGGCTTAGGGACTGACTGTCCTTAGTTGTTTGATACCTGGCCCTTGGGATGACTAGGGCAGGTAGATAGTGGTCTGGAGTATAAGAGCTTGATAAGAGAAGTGGTTATGGGTAGGGACTGTGGATTGGTTGGTTTGCATGTCAAAGGCATGCTTGCAGGAGAGCCCTTTATGATCTCTAGGAATTGCAACCTTGAGAAGAGCAGTCTCTTCAGAATTAGCAAGGTCCTAAAATGTCAAAGAATCAGAAACACATAGTTCATACAAGAACGGCACATCTGAGTTTCTGGAACAGCTGTGGAATTGTTGCCCTGTCTCTCCCTTTGGAGATGGGAGACTTGGAACTGATGCCACAATCTTGCTACCACCCAGGGGATGAAGATGAGAGAGGGAGGTGGGTGGACACAAGAGAACTGAAGGACAACAGAGTAGAGTCATTGTATTAGGTTGACCCTGAACCTTATTAATCTTGGGCTTTCAGTTACGTGATCCGATACATTGTCTTATTGTTTAAATTGGTTTATTGTTGCTGTTTATTGTTGTTGTGTTTTTAGATTTCTGATTACTTTCAGCTGTGCCTTTCTAACATTTACAAAACTACAGTGTGAAAACCCACAGGATCTATTGGGGAGGGATTAATTTTCTAAAGGAAAGGAAAGATTTTTCAAGTCTGCTTTTGATGATATTAAGATTTATTACTGAGGCTTGCTGAATGTTTGCCCTCTTAGAATAAATGAAGAATACAAGGCTTTTAGGTGCATTTGCATTCAATAGATGACTTAGTTTGCTGACTTAGTTTGCTGACTTAACTGTAATACATTATTTTTTTTGCAAAAATCATTCTGAGATATCTTATCACTGCTGGATAGGAGAAAGTCATGTAGCATTTCTATAATAATCTCCCATTTTACTAGGGTAATCACAATTCATATGGAGATTTTAAAAATAGCTTACAGGTTTTTAGGAAAACATTATTTTCTTGTGCAGAGATAACTACTGGAGAAATTCTGAATCAAATCCATTTGTTCTGTTTATACTATGTATATGGGGGAAAATAGTACCCCCTTAAGATGCAACAATTATACAAATAACCCTATTAACACACATAAGTAGCACACTAAAAGTGTGTGTGTGTGTGTGTGTGTCTACGTGTGTGAATGTGTAATTGTATAAATATGTAAAAACCTTATATTTAATACAGGCTACTTATGTCAAATTGGATAATGGTTTAATAAATATGAGAGTTTTGATTTCTTAACAACTAATTTATAAAAGTTTTATTAAATTAATACATACACATGGTTTTTTAAAATAAATTAAATAATACAAAAAGTAATTATAATAAAAAACAGTGATAGCCCATCCAAATTTTGTCTCCAGGATCAACAGGTTTGAATTCTTTCTTCCTGTGATTTCCATGTTTTTCTATACAGCATGTTTTAAGTGCTGTTTGTTTACTGATTGGTTCTGTTTGCCATATATTGAGTATTTTTTATGATTTGTATGTTAATTTCATTGTATTTTCAACCCCTTCTCCGATCCTCTTTTAAAATTTTTTTATTTTAAAAATTGTCAAATAAAAATTATGTATATTTATGGGTGTACAACATGATGTTTTGACATTTGTATACACTGTGGAATGCCTAAATCAAGCTAATGAACATATATATGCATTACATCACATACTTATCATTTTCTGGTGGAATAAGTTCAAGAGATCTATATTACAATATGGTGCCGAGAACTAATAACAATGTATTATGTATGTGAAAATTGCCAAGATTATATTTTGTGTTCTCTTCCTGTGCTCTTAATATAGTTCTAGCACTATTTTTATTTAAGAGATAATCTGTGTTGATATCATTATGACAAAGTAAGTACTGTTTATTGAGTTCAGAAGTGTAGTATAGTTGCAATAAATAATTGCCTTGTGTTTATTTGCCTAAATTATTTTACATGGATGCCCCTTCACCATGTATTTCACCATGGCATCTATCATACCATGTATTTATCAAGTCTATATTTTTTCAGCAAACTTACCTTTGGAGAGCTTGTTCCTCCTGCTTAAAATAGGACTTGTTACTTTCTGGGTACCAAGCTGCTGTCAAGCTGTGGGGTTTCTTTACCCTTCTCTTGGTTCTGGTCATCATTTTCTGAGTCCCATGCCTTCTACTTTCTATTTTGTTCCCTTGTTTTGCTAGAGCATGTTCTCCAGTTGCTCTGCAGGAAAGGCTGCAAGGTAATTCTGACATATTAAAGATCCTTTATTCTGCTTTCAGGTTGGGTTTAGGATATTAGTTTGAAAAAAATAAATCCTCCAGAATTTCAAAGGCATTTCTCCGTTTTCTCAGTTTCCAGTGTTGTAGAGAAATCTAATGCCATTCTTAGTCTCTGACATTTTTTCTTTTCTCACGTCTTATTTGTCCTTGAATTTCCCATTGATTTTCATTAATAATAATTATTATTATTTTATCCAGCTCTCCTCTTAATCTCTTCTTCTTTTCTTTTTTTGAGACAGAGTTTCACTCTTTCGCCTAGGCTGGAGTGCAGTGGCACAATCTCAGCTCACTGCAACCTCTGCCCCCAGGTTCAAGTGAATTATCCTGCCTCAGCCTCCTGAGTAGCTGGGATTACAGGTACCCGCCCTCATACCCACTTAATTTTTGTATTTTTAGTAGAGACAGGGTTTCGCCATGTTGGCCAGGCTGGTCTTGAACTCCTGACCTCAGGTGATCCACCGGCCTTGGCCTCGCAAAATGCTAGGATTACAGTAATGAGCCACTGCACCTGGCCAGTCCTATCCTTCTATGTGATCCAAACCAGTGTCGATTTGCAGAAGTCATCTAACTGATCTATTTTCTTCTACCACTGATTGATTGTTTTCAACACAGTAACCAGATGAATTCTTTTAAAACTCAAGACTTACCATGCAACTTCTCTGTTTACCCCATTTTAGAGTAAAAGACCTCATGTGATCTGGCCTCCTTTATCTCTTTCTGCTTCCCACCTTGTCCCTCCACTCTTGCCACAGGAACCTTTTCTCACTGTTACCTTTCAGTTGACCACCATGCTTAAACTCGTGTTCAAGCTTCATATGTTCAGCCTCTCTTTCCTCCCTTTTTCCCTACAGCACTTACCACCATCTCATATATTGTATATTTACATATTCAACTTCAATCTTGCCCCTAGTGGAATGTAAACAATGTAAGCAATGGCAGGTATTTTTTTTACTTCCTATTTGTATATCCAACACCTAGAAGAGTGCTTGGCTTATCATAGATTTACAGTAAATAGTTTTGATCAAATATGAAGTTAAAATAGTAACTATGAATTAAAGGGAGAGCAGGAGACACAAACAGCAACACAACAGGTGAGAAACACTAACTCAGCTGAGAACGGAGTGGAACACTGGGCCAGCAGGGTAAACAGAGTTGCATAACTTTCACTGTGTTATGGCAACAAGCATAAATTTCATCAGAAGAAACAACTTTTATTCCTGGACATTCTGAGAAAATATTATCATAAGAAATTTTGTATGAAGGGGGGTTGATATGGTTCGGATTTGAGTCTCCACCAAATCTCATGCTGAGTTGTAATACCCGGTGTTGGAGGTGGGGCCTGGTGGGAGGTGACTGAATCGCAGGGGCAGATTTCTCATGAATGGCTTAGCACCTTCTCCCTTGGTGCTGTTCTCATGATAGTGAGTGAGTTCTCTCAAGATCTGGTTGTTGAAAAGTGTGTAGCACTCCTGCTGTCTCTCTCTTTTGCTCCTGCTCCCGCTATGTGAGATGCCTTGCTCTCCCTTTGCCTTCTGCCATGATTGTAAGTTTTCTGAGGCCTCCCTGGAAGCCAAGTAGATGTCAGCACCATGCTTCCTGTACAGCCTGTGGAACCATGAGCTGATTAAACCTCTTTTCTTTATAAATTAACCAGTCTCAGGTATTTCTTTAGAGCAATGTGAAAACAGACTAATACAGGTGTGGAATAGAGTAAATTTAATAAGTATATTCTTGATATCTGCTTTACAAAAAAGTAGATTTCCTCATGTGATTATTATTGTTTTTTTAAAAATTAGCCTTGTTGAACCAAAGCAATGCTTCATGTCAGAATGTTGTAGGTAGTTAAATATAAAGTCTGGAGAATCTTAAAGAGTAAATATTTGTCTATAGTTCTGAATGATTCTCTCAAATATTAGCTGTCTCAGCCAAGCTTTGGAAAGTAGTCAGTTAGCAGGCTAGTAATGACTGAGGTCTCCAGTGAGAGATGAAGTATAGATAATTCCTTGTTTGTAATTGAAAGGAGATCGTGTCCTCTAGGTATAAGTGTATGAGTGATCAGGACATTTTGCAGAAGAAAAGCCTTTTGTATTTTGCTTCAGTAGAGGGCCACTATAACTCTATGTGGAAATGACCTTCTTTGGGCAGGGCTAGGGAATTTTTTTTTTTTTTTTTTTTTATGACATGGAGTCTTGCTCTGTTGCTCAGGCTGGAGTACAGTGACGTGATCTTGGCTCACTGCAACCTCCGCCTGCTGGGTTCAAGCAATTCTCCTGCCTCAGCCTCCCCAGTAGCTGGGATTACAGGCATGTGCCACCATGCCTGGCTAATTTTTATATTTTTAGTAGAGATGGGGTTTCACCATGTTGGCCAGGCTGGTCTTTAACTCCTGACCTCGTGTTCTGCCCGCCTCAGCCTCCCAAAGTGCTGGAATTACAGGCATGAGCCCACCACACCCAGCCAGGGCCAGGAATTTTTTACATAAAGCAATACTTAAGCTGAAAAAGATTCCACGTTGAGAGTTGATTGTCCCAATGTTCCATCTCATAAAGACTAAGCCAGAGGCACAAGTTTGGGAGCCATTGGTATGGAGGGGGTGGATGTTGATTCTATGAAGTTTCATGATTATTAAGAAAGAGATATTTGATATAAAAAGAGGGCCAAAATTAGATAGTTGCAGAATACATATATTTAAGGTGTAGGAGAAATGTGACACTTTGTTGATTTTTAGGTGCTCAGTTTCTTAAACTTCTTCCTGTGCTTGGATAATCTACTTTTATATGGGGCAGAGGTTGGGACCAATGATGAGCAGTGTTAGAGGTAGTAGCTGCATCTAGGTCACAGAGACAGTAGTGGCCCTTGCTCTGTGGAATAACATCCAGAAAGCTGAATTGTTAGTGATGGCATTTTAAATTCTGGTGTCTGTACTCAGGGTCAGTGAGAGTGTGTCTTCATAGTGATATAGGAGGGGGGCAGGGAAATGCTGGATAAAGAAGGGTAGGTCACTGGCTAGGGCTCCACCCTCGGGCCTTTGCCCACAGACCTAGGTGAAGACAGGCATTTCTGTTTTCATGTCCAAATGTTGCATTTTCCAAGACTACTCTGGCCCACCATGCCCCCATGCTGTGCCTATAAAAACTCAAGACTCTAGCGGGCACAGACACGAGCAGCTGGATGTTGAGAGGAACACACTGGCAAAAGAACAAACAGGCGGCTGGACATCGAGAGGAGCAGAGGAGCAGAAGAGCACACCAACAGGCACCAGCTAATGCGGATGGGCCATTGACGTGGGGTGACGTGGAATTCGGCAGGGGTGGTCTGAGGAGAGTCTAGCCGCTGCGTGTCCCAGCTCCAAGGGTAGACAATCTTCCCACCCCATTCCCCTTCTGGCTTCCCCATTCACCTTGCTGAGAGCTACTGCCACTCAATAAAATCTTGCACTCATTCTCTAAGCCCACGTGTGATCCGATTTTTCTGGTACACTAAGGGAAGAACCTGGAATACAGAAAGCTCTTTGTCCTGGTGATAAGGCAGAGGGTCCAATTGAGCTGATTAACACAAGCCGCCTGCGGATGGCAAAACTGAAAGAGCGCACTCCAACACACGCCCACTGGGGCTCTGAGCTGAGGGGCACTGCAGAAGCAAGTCACACCCCCATCGCACGACCTGTGAGGGGGGATAAGGGAACTTTTCCCATTTCAATAGAGGTAGCTTTTCAGTTTGATTTTAGGTGTTGTTTCTGCTTCATAGCATCCAAATGGTATTTGGGTCCCTCTCACAAATTTTCTGAGTTGTCAATATTCCTTTTTTCTAACTATATATTGAGGTTTTATGTGTGTGTGTAGATACAGAGATGAAGAGAGAGAGAGGGTGATATGGTTTGGCTCTGTGTCCCCACCCAAATTTCATCTCAAATTGTAATCCCCATAATCCCCACGTGTCAAGTAAAGAACCTAGTGGGAGGTGTTTGGATCATAGGCACGGTTTCCCCAATGCTGTTCTCGTGATAGTGAGTGAGTTCTCACGAGATCCGATGGTTTTATAAGTGGTTCACACTCACTCCCTCCTGCCACCTTGTGAAGCAGGTGCCTGCTTCCCCTTCCGCCATGATTGTAAGTTTCTGAGGTGTCCCCAGCCATGTGGAACTGTGAGTCAATTAAACCTCCTTCCTTTATATATTACCCACTCTCGGGTATTTCTTTATAGCAGTGAGAAAATGGACTGATACAGAGAGCATGCCAAATCCCAAGTATACAACTTGATTATTTTTCATGAAGTGAATTAGCCATGTAACCACCACCAGATCAAGATATACCTTTACTAGCACTCCAGAGGCCTCCTTCATACTCTTCCCAGTCATTACAAAGGGAACCATTATTCTAGTTCCATAAATGTGTTTTGAACTCTACATAAGTAGAATCATTCAGTATGCATTTGTGTGTGTGTTTAGCTTCTTTTGCTCAACATTTTGATTATAAGATTCATCTAGGTTATCATGTGAAACAAGTTTTATTTTTGTAACTATAGTATTCTACCATATCAAGATACTGAAATTTGCTTATCTAGTCTATTGTTGATAGACATTTGGGTTGGGGCCATTTCAGGTAATGAATATTGTTTATAGAGTCATTTATGTATCTTTTGATGTACAATTTTTTGTGTTCTTTTTGGGTATATATATCTAGGAGTTGAATTTTTCTGTTTTAGAACATTTTTCTAATGGGATTTTATCAGTTAATACTTCCACCAGCACTGCAGGAGAGTTGCCCTTGTTCTGTATCTGCACCAATGAATGGAATTATCTCCAATAATAATTTTTTAATAAATTGTTTCTCTTTAAATCTGCCAAAATTTCTTTATGTGTTGGTTGGTTGGTTGGTGGCAACTAAGAACCATGTTTTATACTTGTATTAGTCTGGTTCTCCAGGGAAACAGAACCAACACACATATACAATATGCCTTATGTATATATAATTAATATTACAGATAATTATATATAATTTATATATATTTATGTAAATTAATATTTTATATATAATTTCTTTGTATAAATGTAAATATACAAATATTTATACAGACATTTATGATAAGGAGTTGAAGCATGCATTATGGAGGCAAAATTCCAACATCTGTATTCAGCCAGATGAATAGCGGAGAGCCGATGGGGTAAGTTCCATTTTGAGTTTAATCTTGAAGAAGTAGAACTCTGTCCCAGCTAGAGGCCTGTCAGGCAGAGAGAACAAATCCTCCCTTACTCAGTTTTTTCATTCCATTCAGGCCTTCAAAGGATTGTATGAGGCCCACCCGTATTGGGGAAGGCAATCTGCTTTACTCAGTCTGCAAATTCAAATGTTAATCTCATCCAGAAACATGCAAAATAATGCTTAACTTCCCAGTCAAGTTGATCCATAAAATTAGCCATCACAATGCTAAAGGTAAGACATAAATGTACAGGATCAGGGAAACGTGATAGAAATGTACAAAACTGTAAAATGTAAAAGCTTTTGGAGTAACACTTTACAATTTTCTTTGAAATCCATTTGTTGCCTAGAGGTGGGACCCTGAGTGTGAAGTTTAACCTTAGCTAAGCCCTTACATTGACAATACACAGATTGATAATTAAAGTGTACTTTTCTTTTCAAACATGTTTTTTTTCAGTACTTTAATATCTCAGGTAATATTAAAAACTTGTTTAGTTTTCCCAAATAGCCATAACTCCACGAACTCATTTCTTTTTCTCATGCTTTGTATTTGAGGAGAAGGCAAACTTCTCCTGCTGGAGTTATTTTCTTTAGGATTTTTATTAGTATGTCTTCTTCAATGTCATCAGCACTTTGCTTCTCATTGCTGCTATAGCAAATTACCACACATTTAGTGACTTAGACAACATACATTTATTATCTCACAGTTCTGGAGGTCAGAAATATGACACAGGTCTCAGTGGGCTAAAATCAAGGTATCAGCTGGGTTGGGTTCCTTCTGTATGTTCTGGGAGATAATCTGTTTCCTTGCCTTTTCCAGCTTCTAGCAACTGCCTGCATTCCTTGGCTCATGGCTCCCATCCAACTTCAAAGCCAGCAGTGTAGCATCTTTAAATGTCTAACTCTGACTTCCCTGTCCCTCTCTTCCACTTAGAAAGAACCTTGTAACTATATTTGTCCCCCACCCCCAGGAAAATCCAGGATAATCTTCCCATGTTGAGGTCAGCAACCTTAATTTCATTTGCAACCTTAATTCCATTTTGCTATGTAACCTAATATACTCAGAGTTAGACATGCATTCTTTGGGTGTTTATTATTCTGTCTACCACACCCAGAAGGGAGAGGAAACCAGTGTCAGGAGTGAATTTTATCTGCCTTCCATAAAAATATGGTGACCTTTCTTTTTTTAACTTTTAAGTTCAGGGGTACATGTGCAGGTTTGTTACGTAGGTAAACTTGTGTCATGGGGGGTTGTTGTACAGATTATGTAGTCATCCAGGCATTAAGCCTAGTACCCATTAGTTAATTTTTTCTAATCCTCTCCCTGCTCCCATCCTCTGCCCTCTGATAGGCCCCAGTGTATATTGTTTCTCTCTTTGTGTCCATGTGTTCTCATCATTTAGCTCCCACTTATAAGTGAGAATATGTGGTATTTGGTTTTCTGTTCCTGTGGTAGTTTGCTAAGGATAATGGCTTCCAGATCCAACTATGTTCCTGCAAAGGACATAATCTAGCTCATTTTTTATGGCTGCATAGTATTCCATGGTGTATCTGTACCACATTTTCTTTATCCAGTCTATCATTGATGGACAGTTAGGTTGATTCCATGTCTTTGCTATTGTGAATAGTGCTGCAATGAACATAAGTGTGCATGTGCCTTTATAACACAATGGTTTATATTTCTTTGGGTATATACCCAGTAATGAAATGGCTGGGTTGAATGGTATTTCTGTCTTTAGGTCTTTGAGGAATTGCTATATAGTCTTCCACAATGGTTGAACTACATTACACTCCTATTAACAGTGTATAAGTGTTCCTTTTTCTATAGTGGCCCTTTCTGTGTCAGTTTTCTTAAGGGCATTCCCTTAAATAACTGCAAAAGAAGGGATAATGCCAGCAAATGATACATTCATGTTTTTGAAGCTTTTTTTTCCCACAGGCCAATTTTTTTTTTGTGTGTGTGAAGTTCCATACAAATAGCCACAAAAGTAACATTTATCTGCTGTAGTCACTAAAATCTACATATACTCCTGAGAAAGGTTTCAAACTATGGATTTTCACAATACTTTGTAATTACCTTCTGCTTTATGTATCCCTTACCATTCCTTAGTTTACTCATAGATAATTATGCTGCTACCTATTAAAGGGAAAAATAAACATTGAAAATCCCGGGAAAGCACGAAGCAGGCTATTCACACAGATCTCTAATAAACCTTGTTTAGCTTTCAGCTTTAAATGGGATGTATGCCGACATTGACCTTAATATTCAATGCTTGGTAAATACTTTGAAAGCAAGGTTTATTGTGAATTCTGAATTCTTTGTTAAGTAGTGGTAATTTTCATATTTAATTTCTTAGCAGCCAAAGACTTTCTACCAAATCAAAGTGAAATTAGTACCATGTTTGATATAAACTGTAGAATTCTGTTTAATTAGAAAATCCAATTTCTCTCTGTACTCATTTATACTATTAACTTTACTTTTGCCTCAGGTTTTTCAGAGATAGAATGAGGTTTACCTTATATAGCCTATCTATTTTCAGTTCTTATTCTTAAAATTTACGTTTAGAATAAGCAATGACATCTGTTATAGAGATTGAATTATTAATATTTGTGCATATTACGGCTCTGTATTGACTGTGTGTAGTTCTTTCTAAGCTTGATCTCAAGCATAGCAGAGTAATTTTAGCATATTGGAAAAAATTCAACATATAAGTACCACAAATTTGATATACTTATTTATAAAATTGTATTGATGAGAATAAGACATATTTTAAAAATATGAGTCAGATCTGAACTGTTTAGTTAAAAATGATTTGGCTTATGGAAAGTATACTTGGCCCTCAAACTTTACCTTTCTCACATATACTTATGTCATTATTTCTCTAATCCTTATTTCTACTTCTGTCTATATTTTCAGAGAGGTTATTATTGTACATACTCTCTCATTTAACCATATCTAGTTTTGGATCATTTTTCACATAATGTTATGTTGTGAACTTTTTTCTATGCCACTAGAAAAAGATTAAAAATATAACTTTTAATGTTTGAATATCAACCATTGCCTTATTGTTGTTGTTATGTTGTTTTCAATTTTTGCTATTATAAATAATGCTGAAAAGACATTTAAAATTTTGAATTTACACCTGAAGTCAGACCTGAAAATTTATCATAAATTTTGATACAATAGCTCTATTATTATCATTTTTCAAATAGTCTCTCATTATAGTTTTGCTGTCAACAAATAGTTATGTAGGAGTGTACTTGAGTGTTTTCACTTATCAAGATATTATTTTCTCCATTAAATATTAAAATTTTCTTCAAGTTTTAGTGGATTATGGTCAGAAAATGTGAACTGTGCAGTTTCTGCTTTTTGGAATTGATTGGGGGCTTTCTTTGAAGCTATATGTGTCTAGTCATCAAAGTCAAGAACAAAATGGAATCTTTGAAGTCCTCTGAAAGTAAGATGAAGAATTTTACAAAACTTCAGAAACCTCATCTGAAACTCCCCTCTCTTTCCCTGCCATTTCTAGCTGATAAAAATCTAAAGGTTTAAATATAACATAATTATTATTTTTTTCATTATGTTTATTTTAAGAAGTTTTAAATTTCCATGTAATGAAAATTCCTGGATTATCAGAAGATTTTAATTTATATTTTAATTCAAGAACTTCCAGGAATATTTGGGTATAGAATACCTTTCTTTCATTTTGTTTAGATTTGGTTCACACATTTATTTGTATGTTCATTTTTTTTCAAATCAAGAAAGTTTTCCATTATATTTTTAATATTGCTTCTATTTGTTTTGCTTATTTTAGAAATAGTGAATCATATAATTTCCTATAATTATTATGTTGGAGTTTTATTTTTTATTCTCATCTTATTCTCAGTATTTGCATAACTTTAATGTTTCCTTTCTTCTATATTTTTGGTGAAGTTTCTTGAGATTGCCCTGTACATTACAGCTCCAGGTTTTTGCAGTGTCTAATTCCATTTATTTCTCCCAGTGGAGATATTGATCCTGTGTTGTATTTTTAGTTTTCTTTTAACTCTTTCTTATTTTACTCAGCTCTCTTTCAATTTCATCTAGGGTACTACCTTCTTACGGCTTTTTACGGCTTTCTGCTTCCTTGTTATAGTGTTTCTTCTTGTGTTATAGTGGGGATGTCAAACTGTTTTCCAAGATTCATTTCTGTTCTTATTGTTGCTTTATTCTTGAAACCTTGGAGTCCCTTGATAGCACTCTCTCCTGCTTCTCATTCCAAATTTCTGACAAGTTCATCTCTTTCCCTTTCTGGCTTATTTATCCAGTGGTGAGCACCTACCATGTGCTGACATTATGACAGGTGCTTGAAATAAAATGGTTAACAAAAACTCTGCTCTTATGGGACTTTTAGCCTACTGAGGACAGGACATTATTCAAAGAAAATCTCAACAAGTGTAAATTTGCATCAATAATAATGTTTATTATTATTTAAAGGAAAAGTATGCAGGGTCTGTAATAGCTTATAAGAGGAGTTGACTTGCTACTCTACTTGATTCTAAATAGTGATGTTTCTGGGATCCTTATTCTTGCCCCACTTGTACATTCTTCTTGAAGCATGTTTTTCATAACTTTCATATTTCCAATCTGCATGGGGGTGAGTCACATTTAGGGCCCAGAGGGTAAAGTCCATCCCTGAGCTCAGTGTGTTTCCTGAACTCGAACGAATATACTTTCTGCTTTATAGGCACTGACTCTGTATGTCTCAGAGACACAAAATTCAATATGGTCTTGTTTGTTCTTTATTCTACAAAACAGTTTCCCTTGTTAAAGTCCATGTTCTGTTAGGATTACTATCACCCACCCAGTGTCCAAACCATAAATCTGGCACTATCTCTAATTCTTGGGTCTTTCTCACCCCCTCTAACCCATTGGCCTCTTTATTTATTATTTAGAGTCATATTGCATGCAATAAAAGCCAATCATGATCTAGTTTCTGCCCACTTATGTAGCCTCTTCTTTCATTATTTCTCTACTTTTGCTCTAGAAGTTATCGTAGCCATTCTGACCTGTTTCAGTTCCCCCGATTTTATTTTTTTCCCAAATATCTTTCCCTAAGTTTTCTTCTCCTATAGCGTATGTGTTATCTGAAATATCATTGATAGGTGGATGCTGAAGAATGCCATATGATCTAATTTATATAAGTGGAGTCTAAAATTTGAACTCATAGAAGTAGAGTGTAGAATGGTGGTTACCAGAGGCTGGGGGAGGGGAGAGATAGGTAAAAGTGAGATGATCAAAGAATAGAAAGTTTCAGTTAGGGGGAATAAGTTTTAGTGATCTATCCACAGAATGGTGACTCTAGCAAATATAATAATGCATTGTATATTTCAAAATTGCTAAAAGAAGATTTTAAATGTTTTCACCACAAACATAATAAATATATGAGGTGGTAGATTTGTTAATTTTCCTGATTTAATCATTCTACAAGGTAAACTTATATCAAAACATCTCATTGTATCCCATAAATATATATAGTTATTACTTGTCAATTAAAACTTTAATTAAGAAAAGGAATGCCAACTCTGGAGCTTAGAAAACTCTGACTTCAAGTCTCAGCTCCCTGATTTACTAGCAACAGGCCCCTAGACCTGTTAATTAATCATGCTGCTCCTCAATTTTGAATTTTTAAGGTTGGGATGGTAAAAATGCCTACTATGTAAAGTTTTAGAGGATTAAATGAGATAAGCAAAAGGATACAATACCTTTCAACAACCGTTGCTGGTGCTGTTATTGCTACTATTATTTAGAACTTGATTAAAGTGTTTCTGTCTCTATAAATTCTTTTCTGGTATTTTCTGGGGGAATTGATAAGTTTAACCTTGTACATTCCCTATGCTATGGGGGTATTTATCTGCACAATACTCTATTGCATTTGTTTGCTTACATACCATTCTATCTTTTTAACTATCCTGAGATCACCTTGAAGACAGGGGATATGTTTTTTAAACTTGTGTATATTCTAAGTGACGAACACGCTACATATTGTGCTTAGAACCCAGTTAGAATTTAATAAATATTTGTTGGAAAAAAAAGCAGCACTAAAAACACTATGAATATTCTGAAATGAGTACATATTTGGTCCTGTTTCCTGGCAATCTCTAATTTAGCAGGAAAATGGCCTGAGGAATTTGATATTTTGAGCATTCAGACTCAGGAAGTCCAAAAATCCTCTACTCCAGGTTTGCAGGCAGTTCTCCAGAATTTCCAGGTACTGTCCTTGAAGGATGTGTGGGGTGTGTTGTTTATTGAAGGTGTCATTAAAAATAACATTGATTGCTTTGAATAATGTAGAGTTATATTGCTACATAGAACTGATAATATAGTTTTAATCTACCTGAAATAAATAAATATATTCTTTATAGAAATGACAAGGTATATGTTTTGTTTTTTTTTTTACACCACTATCTTCTCTGATAATCAATGACAGGTGAATTCTGTCTTTGGTGATTAGCACTTATCCTTGGAAGCTTATGGAACATAAATTAAAGTTTCTTTTTTGGTGTGTGTTCAACATGATCATCAATTTGATGTAGTGATTTTTGACATACCCATCAAACTTGGATATGATATAAAACTGAGAATAGATGATATGTCAAAATCGAAAAAGAACATGAGCTTGACAGGATCAAATGTAACATTTTAATATTTACTAGAATAACATGAAATTTTAACTAGGTACACAAAACAAATTATAGAAATATGCATAGAGCCCTAACTTAAACCTTAAATGCAATATTTATCTACCTGTCAATCTATCAATCATCTACTTAACATTTTTCTATTTATCTATGAACCTTGGTTCATTGGAAACTAAATATTTATTGAGGGAATAATGACCTTGAAAATGACCAAGGTTGTTTTGAGGATCTAATGTACAGCATGGTAACTATAGATAATACTAATGTATCATTCCCTTGAAATTTCATAAGAAAGCATATGTTAAGTGTTTTTACTGCACACGCATGCACACACACACAATTGGTAACTGTGGGTAGTGATAGATATGTTAATAAATTTGACTGTGGCAATCAGTACACAATGTATAAATATATCAAATAATCCCACTGTACATCTTGAACATCATATTAGTTCGTTTTCACACTGCTATAAAGAAATACCTGAGACTGGATAATTCGTAAACAAAAGAGGTTTAATTGACTCACATTTTCCCATGGCTAGGTAGGCCTCAGGAAACTTACAACCATCCAAACACTTATAAAACCATCAGTTCTCATGAGAACTCACTCACTGTCATGAGAACAGCATGGGGGAACCGCCCTCATAATCTGATTACTCTCCTTCCTCAACACATGGGGATTACAATTTGAGATGAGATTTGGGACACAGAGCCAAACCATATCAAATATATACAATTATTTGTTAATTTCATATATTTTTAAATGATCTGGATGAAAATGAAAATGTTTCCCTGTTTTGGCAAGTGGTGGTGTGTGTAGCAGTTCACACTAGGGTCATGAGGGATGGGTGTGGCAGAGCAAAGCTGGATGATCTGGGGAATGAAGAAAAATAACAGATTTTTGAATAAGTTGTTTTTACATCCTACCTGTGATAAGAAGGCTTGTCTGTGCCGGCGTTGGGTAAGAGAATGGGTAGCTAAATGGGAGATAGATTGGTAGTCATGCATTCTCTCATCATCTAAGAGTTTATTATTTGCCCATATGGCTAGAGACTAGAACACATAGCAGAACATGTTTGCTGCCATAGAGGGCTTTGTGGTGATATAAACCCATTACAACAGATAGAAACATGAAAGAAGCAGTTGGACCATGCATTTGATAGGAATAACTGAATCAACATAACTACTAATGTAACTAATGATTTGATATTCATGCAAAAAAACGAATCAAAACTTTTAAGCCCTGAAATATAATTTTGCTATCAGTTTACTATGTGACTTAGTCTTCTGGGTCTTGTAGATGAGGATTAATTTTTATACCCTATTTCTAGAACATTCAGTTACTTTATTAAAAATTTAAGTCTGTCAGACCGTTGATTGCCAATGAGTTCTTTGCCCAAATAGCTGATTTAATTTAGAACTGACCACCCAAATGACTCCATAGGATTGATTTGATCTGTGTTATTAAGCCTGGGTCAGTTAAGCTGTTTTAGGCATGAACAGTACGAATTGTACAACCACTCACAATCCAGATAACTGTTACATTCACGTGAAAATCATCATTATATATTATCATAATTTTACCTGGCCTCCCTAATATTCAATGTCAAAACTTAAGAAGAACAGGGTGTTTTGAAAGAACATATTGAAAAACTAAGATAATACAATGAAGTAATAGGTAAGAAGTATGATAGTCTATTTATACAACAGAATAAAGAAGAGGTTACAAATTAAATGTGCAGGTAGAATATCGGTATTTTGAGGACAGTATGAAATATGAAAAAATCTTGTTTTGTTATTCAACAAATATTTATTAAGTACCTGGTATGGTGACTAAGAAAGAATTTATAATCTAGTGGAAATGTGCAAAGATCACTAAGCAATTGCAATTGGTTGACAAATAGAAGTCTAAGCACAGAGAATAGTGACCTAATTCAGACATGGGGACAAGGACAGGTGTCCTAGAGGACACAGTGTTTAAAATGAGAAGGTACTAACTACAGAAGGCTGTGGGAGAGATGGGAAAAAAGAATGCTATCAAGAGAGGGTACAGCATGTGCAAAGGCTCAGAGGTGAAGGAATTCCCAATTTGAGACATTCAGTGTTTAGAACTTAGGTATGTAAAATTGATAGTTTGTGTATTAAATCATAAAGCCATCTGGAACCTGTTAGCTTAGCCCAATTAAACACAATGCTCCAGAGGCCATGGTGTTATCTATCTGGGCTATTTTGTTTTCCTTTATAACTTGAGGTGGCCTAAATTGTGTCAATTGCAAACAACCACCCAGCAGTGAGGTGCAAAGGATTACTCAGAAGACAGTGTAAGTGGCTTAGTTTTAAAAATGATAAAAAGCTACTATTTACTGAATTCCTTTAATAGGCCAAGTATAGTGCTTAGGTTCTTCACATATATTTTTCTCATGTGATTCTAACAGGGACCTAATAATGTCTTCATAGCATAGTTGAAGAGACTGAGGCTAACTGTATCAGCTGGTTCTTGCTATGTAACAAATTATCCACTCACTCTGCCCATTGACAATGTAGCCTGTGCTCACTAGGTGTTCTGATATTGGCTGGGCTCCCTTATGCATCTATGTCAGCTGAAGGTTGTTTGGTTAGTTATTGGCTGGGTTACCTAGCTCTTTTCCACACGGTTTCTCATCTTCCTTCAAGCTAGCCTGGCTTTGTGCTTACAGAGGAGCTGAGAGGAGAGAGAGAGAGAATCACAGAGAAAGAGAAAGAGAGAGAGATTGCATAAGTGCAAGGACCTTTTAAGGCCTGTGTTTAGAAGTAGAATGCTGTCAGTTCTACCATCTTCTACGGACCGTAGTAAGTCACTAGGGCAGTTCCGATTCAAAGGGTGGGGGAACAGACTCCACCTTTTGAGAGGAGGAGCTGTAAGTCCTGTTGGAAAGGATGTGGGGAGACAGAGAGGTCACTAACTGGGGTCAGGGTGTTTTGAAGAACATATTGAAAAAATACTAAGACAAGAAAATGAAGTAATAATCAATTCTACCATAAGAAGAGAGGCCACATATTTGTACAATGTCTCCACTGTAAGTGGCTGAGCTAGAATTTGATTCCAATGCCTTTTCTCTTTTCAGTTGATTCACTGCCTCTCCTACTATTTACAACAAAGTTCTTAAAAAGTGTGCGTTGATGAGCAAGTATATCCTGCTTAGACATAAAATGACCTGGAAATGGAAATTTACTGTAGGTGAGTGATAATGTAGCTTTTATTCATTTTGTAACCAGAAAATATTTTGCTAGAGGAAAAAGCATGAATTGGGAAGTTGGTAATTTAAATTCACAAAATTGTTATCTTGCTAGCTACAGACAGAGTCCTTAGCTACCAGTGATATTTTTCTCTCCCCTTTAGACCTACTTAAAAAAAAAAAAAGCAAAAACAAAAACATCTGATTGTTTGGAAGAGGCAGGGCCTGCATGACAGATGAGTAAATTCTGCTTGGATAGAGATTGAGTGGAGATTTTCACTCGGGGAAGCCCAAGTGTCTTAATTCCTCCACTGTGGCTGTTTTTCTTCCTTAGACTTTCCTGTCTTCATATTGTTGCCATGCATGGGTTTGTACTTGTAAGATATTTTATTTCTCTTTATTTTATTTGGTTTTTAAATTGCCCTCATATGTTCAAAATGAAATCTGCTAACAAAACATTTGAGTTATTGACTTTAATACTTGTACAGGTTTTGTTTAATAGCAAGAAGAGTATCTGCTAAACACTGTAATTCCAGTGGGGTACAATGGACAGATACATGAGGTTGTCTTTTCTTTTTTTGCTGTACTTGCTTAGATATCAGAGTAAAGCATGCTTCGTAATATCTCTTTAAATAGAAATTGTACATATAATAGTGTAGCACATATTTTATGAAAGGTAAACTTAATATCCAAGTCTTGGAGATAGTAATTTATTTTAAATACCTATATTTATATTAAAAATGGTTACTACCCTCAATCTAAGAAAGAATATAACAGTTCTATTGTACTATATGGGTTAGACATTACCAAATTCATTACCTATCTGAATCATAATTGTCAGCCTTCCTCCCCATTATCCATCCGATTTCTTTACCAGCCTTTTTTCCTCTTCTTGACTTTGTATTCATAATGAGAAATGTTAGCAATAAAGCTTTAATAATGGGAACATTGTCTTGAATTTTTATAGCACATTTCCACTAAGAGGTTTAGAGTGATTCAGATGAATTTCCTTGTTTTCACTGGCAACTTTCCAATGAGTTAGAGTGTTGGAATAAATGCTACCTCAGCTTCACGACTGTCTTTGTCATCCCCTTCATACGACTGATTATTTGCCTCTATCTAACATGAACCTGATCTCTTTCTCACTCCATTCCTAGAGTCACAGGAGTTTACTATCCCCATAAATGTGTGTGTGTGTGTGTGTGTGTGTGTGTGTGTGTGTGTGTCTATTGCTTTCAACTCCCCTCTCCTCCTACTCTGGGCACACCTAGGGGTTTAGCAATGCTCTAGACTACATAATATAAATGAAAATGCAAGAGCTTGCCAGAAGTAACACTTAACCGAAGTGCCAATTCTGTTTATCAGAAATGTGACTAACCTTAGCTCATGACAAATGGTAATTTTCACATCTAGACAAGAAGAGGAAAGAATAGGATTCATGAAAATTCAACTTAGAAAATATTCAATTTGGATGAGTTGGATAGGAATTCTGATACAGGCAGTAAAGACCGGGAGATGCAGAATAACACTTTGCATGCTAAGTGCATTTGATTAAATAACATCTTTTAATGATTTTCTTGTTAATGGCTAGTCACTGATGTCAGTGTTGCCTATGTGATTATGAATTTTGGGATTGATTATATTGGCATAATACAGCCTAAGAGAAAGAGAAGAAGCTCTTGGACACAGACATTTTTTTTTCTTTCTTGGAATCCTTATTCTTTCTTTCTTTCTTTTTTTTTTTTTTTGGGACTACAGGCGCCTGCCGCCATGCCTGGCTAATTTTTTTTCTTTCTTGGAATCCTTATTCTTTCTTTCTTTTTTTTTTTTCGGGACTACAGGCGCCTGCCGCCACGCCTGGCTAATTTTTTTTGTATTTTTAGTAGAGACTGAGTTTCACCGTGTTAGCCAGGATGGTCTTGATCTCCTGACCTCGTGATCCGCCCTCCTTACTCTAACAATAGTTTTTAGTTTTTAACATTTAAAGACATGCACAAGTGAAAGAAAATATCAAGTCAACTACATTTCTACATCTCAGAAATCTTAAAAGTTATACTGTCAAAGCAAAATATGAAATTTTAAAAATGGTCACATTTTAGTTGAACTCATGAAAAACTTGTAATATGATTAGGAGCTGGCACTAAAGAAATGTGTGATTATTGAAGACTATATAAACATCTATATTTGATTCACTTATAAAATGTTCAGTAGTTTTGAATGCTGTTCTAAAGTAAAAGTGGATAACATTTTTCCCATGATGTTTTAGCAGCTACTCATTCTTCATTTTTACAATAAGATTTTGTTTAAAATATCATACTACATATTTTTGTTGTTAAAGTAGAGATGAAAATATTGTGAAGTGCTGAACATTTAGGTTATCCTGTAGATTTGCACAAATAAAAATATTTTTAAAAATCATAATTATATAATATAATTAAGAATATATTAGAGATATTATATATTACAATATTTTTATATGTGTATATATGAGTTTTTTTCTGGGAAATAAATCCCTAGAATCAATAAAAACCATTTGGCATATATGCCCTTAAATTCTAAAATTAATTGGTTAAAATATTCAAACTTTCCTACCTATGTAAACTAATTGAACTCTTATGATGAACCGCTTTGTTTTGACTGGTATTGTTAATTCCTTTGTTCCATCTGCATGATAGTGCTTAAATTCAGCCTATGTGATGATCAGTATATTGTCTTAACTTGGCTAGGCTATGGTCCCTAGTTGTTCAATCAAATACTAGTTTAGGTGTTGCTGTGAAAGTATTTTGTAGTTGTGATTAACTCTCATAATCATTTGACCTTTTTTTTTTTTTTTGAGACAGTGTCTCGCTCTGTCACCCAGGCTGGAGTGTGGTGGTGCCATCTCGACTCACTGCAACCTCTGCCTCCCAGGTTCAAGCAGTTCTCGTGCCTCAGTCTCCCCAGTAGCTGGGACTACAGGTGCATGCCACCACTCCTGGCTATTTTTTTTTTGGATTTTAGTAGAGACAGGGTTTCACTATGTTGCCCAGGGTGGTCTCGAGCTCCTGAGCTCAGGCAATCTGCCTGCCTTGGCCTCTGAAAGTGCTAGGATTACAGGCATGAACCACCACATCTGGCCTATCATTTGACTTTACATAAGGGAAATTATCCTAGATACCTGGGTAGGCTGACTCAGTCAGTGAAAGGTCTTAAGATAGAACTAAGACATTTAAAAAAAGATGAAATTCTACCTATGTATTGCAGCTTCAGGTCATGCCATAGAGTTTTCAGCCTGCTTTTTCTGATACCCTACCCTATAGATTTCAGACTTGCCTGGTTGGCCCTTACATTTCTATAAGCCAATCCCCTGCAAAAATTCCTTTAATATATACCTCCTACTTGTTCTATGTCTCTGGTTGAACCAAATTTGACCTCCAACTGCCCTTTCAACAGTTTCACCTGAACTATCTTTTAGAAATTGCTGTAAAGAATTTCTGAGCTGTTGATAAAAGAATTGCAACAGCAACCCATTACTTTAATGTACAGTATCTATAAGTTGCCCTTGCTTTACACAAATATTTACTTCATGTGGCATCCCAATTTGCAGCTTATTTTTCCAGATTCCTATTTCTGTCTACTGACCAAGAAGGCTTTAACATTCCCCTCACTTGACTAAACTTTAGACATGTTTCTTCCTGACTGTAGGCCCCTGACCTCCCTTTTCTTGGAGCATTTACTTTAGAAAACTTGCATTTGTAAATACCTTCTCAGTTCCTTTGAGATGTAATCTTCCCCCAGTCTCTTGCCAGTTTTAGAACCGAGAAATGTTTCTCAAGGAGCCATCTCTTTGAAATGCAATCATCAAGGAAGATAGAGCCCCTGTCTCCTACTCTGTGTGGGGAAAGGAGGCTAATTTCCATAATCACCAATTAGCAAAGATGGTCTAATCACATTGACAACCTCTCCTCTTCAATGTCTTCCAGTACTTTTCCACTAACTCACCCCAGCGCTTAAACACTCTCGTTTTTGTTTCGGTGGAGTTGAGCTCAATCTTTCTCCCCTATTGCAATAGTCATGAATAAAGTCTTCCTTGCCTGTTTAACTGTCCAATGCATTTTTCCTTGCAATACAATGGGTCATAAGATTAGAGTGTGCATTCTTCAGTTATTCATAATTTGATAAATACAAATTCATTTAAATAAGACTTTGTATCACAAGCATGTTGACTTTGGCATAATGATTGGGGTTTTGACAGTATATTCTATTTATAAAAATATATTTTTAACAATCATATGCAAACTTTTGCATATATAAAAATGACAAAATTATTACAAGGTACTTATTCTGAATTAATAAGGACCAGCAGTTGTTTATGTAATAATGCCACTACTATAATGATTTACGTTAATATTGGCCAGCTAATTGTTACCATCATTTCCCAGCTTTTTAGCCCACTCCTCTTTTTTTCCTCTAGCCTAAAGGAAACCCTAGCCTAAAGACTAAGAACACAAGAAAATAGTGGCCATTAGTAATTTTGTGCCTAGACAGAGTTTTTGTTGCTATCTCAAACAGAAAAAGTTTGTTTGCAAAAATTTAATGTGAGTCCAGTTGCTTCTGCTATTGAAAACAGAAAAACTAGAAACTGTGAAAAGCCATAGAGAAGTTCTGTTTAGATTTCCTATGTCTGAGAGACTCTTAATAATCCCACATGTTCTTCCAGCTTCTGTATATAATCATTTCCCTGAAATTACAAGGTCTTCTATTTTGTGGCCATTATTGATTATTGAGCTAAACAAACCAGGGTGGCTACTGGTCAATATAACCAGAGTTCTAGCACATGTAACAAAGAGGAATGTATTGCTGAGGAAGCTTGGACCCTGTGACTAAGCATACAAGAAGGAAATGTGTAGAGGACTCCAGGCCCAAACCTGTGCTTTGGAGGCAAAGCATGCCAAACATAAAAATACAGCTGCTTTTTTTTTTTTTTTAACTGTCTATGTATCTTAAATATTAAGAGTATAGCCTTCTTGACGAAAGGGACCACATGCCAGTTATTATATTATGAACATTATATATGCTGGAACTTAACAAATAATTAGTATGGAGAATGACCTATGTTTAAGATTCTGTATACATAGATTGCTATATTGATTACTTCATATAAAAATTTTCTCACCAATTTCTTTCTAGAGCATATATCTTTTAAACATTTTTTTGCATGAAGTATTGTAATCTTATTAATCTATAATTCCAAGAAAGTAAATACAGAGAGAGTACTCTGTTTACATTAGCCAAACAAGAGTTATTATAAAATCATACATATTCTCCCATATTTAACAATAAAGGATTAAAGTTAAAAAGTGTAAAAATAAAAAGCAACACATTAGAACATACTACTATATATAATCACTTAACCACAAAGGAAGACACTAAGAAAGGAAGACAAGAGTCTCAAAACAACCAGAAAAATGGCAGCATAATGGCAGTACCAAGTCTTTACTCATCAATAATAACACTAAATGTAAATGGTCTCAATTCTCCAAGTAAAAGTTGTGCAGTAGCTGAATGTGTAAGGAAACAAGATCCAAGAAACCTACTTAACCTATAAAGACTCAATAGACTGAAAGGGGTAGAAAAATATATTGCATGCAATTGGAAAGCAAAAAAGAGCAGAAGATATATCAGATAAAATAGACTACAAACCAAAGACTGTAAAAAAAAAAAAAAAAGACAAGGGAGGTTTCCATATAATAATTAAGGAATCAATTCAGCAGGAGGATATAACAATTATAAATATTTTATGCACCCAACAGCAGAGCTCCCAAGTATGTAATGCAAACATTAGTAGATCTAAACGGAGAGATAGACTGCAATAGAATAATAGTAGGGAACTTTAATACCCAACTCTCAATCTAGACAGCAAATCAACCAAGGAATAGTGGAGTTAAACTACACACTAGATCTAATAGGCCTAATTGACATTTATAGAACATTTCACCCAGTGCTGCAGCATACATGTTCTTTTCATCAGCACATGAGACATTCTCCAGAATAAACCATGTCTCAATCCACAAAACAAGTCTGCACAAATTTCACCACAACAGAAATTATATCAAGTATCTTTTCTTTTTTTAAATTTTTTATTTTCTTTTTTGAGATGGAGTCTTTCTCTGCACCCAGGCTGGCGTGCAGTGGTGCAGTCTTGGCTCACTGCAACCTCCGCCTCCAGGGTTCCAGCGATTCTCCTGCCTCAGTCTCCCGAGTGGCTGGGATTTCAGGCATGTACCACAATACCCAGCTAATTTTTGGGTTTTTAGTAGAGACGAGGTTTCCCATGTTGATCAGACTGGTCTTGAACTCCTGACCTCAGGTGATCCACCCACCTTGGCCACCAAAATGCTAGAATTACAGGTGTGAGCCACTGTGCCCAGCTTCAAGTATCTTTTCTGACCACAAAGGAGTAAAACTAGAAATCAGTAACAAGAGGAGCCTCAGAAAATACACAAACACATGGAAATTAAACAACATGCTCCTGAATGACCAATGGGTCAATAAGGAAATTAAGAAGTAAATTTAACAAATTTTTGAAACAAATAAAAATGGAAATACAACATACCAAAATCTATGGGATACAGCAAAAGCAGTACTAAGAGGGAACCTTATAGCAATAAAGTCTCATGTAAGAAAAGTAGAAAGACTTCAAGTAAACAACCTAATGATGCACCTCAAAGATCCAGAAGAGCAAGAACAAACCAAACCCCAAATTAGTAGAAAGAAAGAAATAATAAAGATCAGAGCAGAAATAAATGAAATTGAGACTAAAAAATAGAGAAGATCATCAAAAAGTTGTTTTTTTGAAGATAAAATGGACAAACCTTCAGCTAGATTACTTAAGAAAAAAGAGAAAAAACTCAAATAAATACAATTAGAAATAAGAAAGAAAACATAATTGAAATATCAAAAAAAAAAACACTGAATCATTAGAGACTATTATGAACAACTATATGACAACACATTGGAAAACAGAATAAATGGGTAAATTCCTGGACACATACAGTCTACCAAGATTAAACTATGAAGAAATAGCCCCAACAAACCAACAACAAGTAATGAGACTGAAGCATTAATAAAAAGCCTCCCATCAAAGAAAAGCCCAGGACATCATGGATTCACTTCTGAATCCTACCAAACATTTAAAGAGTTATTACCAATCCTACTCAAACTCTTCAAAAAAATTAGAAAAGGGAATACTTCCAAACTCATTCTGCAAGGCCAGTATTACCCTCATACCAAAATCAGGCAAGGACACAACAGAACAGAGAAAGCTACAGGCCAATATTACTGACAAATATAAAAATATATAAAATGTATAAATATATAAAAAATAGAAATATATACAAATATAAATATATGAAATGTTAAAAATCCTCAACAAAATACTAACAAACTGAATTCAACAACCATGGTCAAGTGGGATTCATCCCAGAGATGCAAGGACAGTTTAACATAAGCAAATCAATAAGTGTGATATATCACATTACCAGAAACAAGAAAAAAAACATATGATTATTTCAATAGATGTGAAAAGAGCATATGATGAAATTCAGCATCCCTTTATGATGAAATCTCTCATCAAACAGGTATAGGAGGAACATGCCCCAAAATAATAAGGGCCATATATGACAAACCCGTGTCTACCATTGTACTAAACGGAAAAATTGAAGGCCTTTTCTCTAAAGACTAGAACAAGACAAGGATGCCCACTTTTACCACTATTATTCAATACAATACTGAAAAGTCCTAGCCAGAGTAATTAGGTAAGAGAAAGAAATAAAGGACATCCAAACTGGAAAAAAAGTCAAATTAGCCTTGTTCACAGACAGCATGATCATATTATACTTAGAAAAACCTTAAGACTCCACCAAACAGCTATTAGAACTGATAAAGGAATTCAATAAAGTTGCAGGATACAAAATTAACATATAAAAATAAGTAGCATTTATATATGTCAACATCAAATAATCTGAAAAAGAAATGAGGAAAACAATCCCATTTACAATAGCTACAAAAATATAAAATACCCAGGAATCAATCTAACTGCAGAAGTAAAAGATCTACACAATAAAAACTATAAAACTGATGAAATAGAAGAAGACACACAAAAAATAAAAAGATATTCCATAATCATGTATTAAAATAATTAATATTGCTAAAATGACAATACTATCCAAATCAATTTACATATTCAATGCAATCCATATCAAAATATCAATGATATTCTTTATAAAAAAAGAAAAACATTCTAAAATTTATTTATTTAAGCTAATTTAAAATGTGAATAATTTATTTATTTTACTTTGTTAAAAAACTTTGTGGGTACATAGTAGGTGTATATATTTATGTGGTGTATGAGATGGTCTGATACAGGCATGCAATGTGAAATAAGCACATTATGAAAAATGGAATATCCATCCCCTCAAGCATTTATCCTTCAGAGTTACAAACAATTCAATTACACTATTTAAGTTATTTTAAAATGTACAATTAAGTTATTATTGACTATAGGCATCTTCTTGTGCTATCAAATAGTAGGTCTTATTCTTTCTATTTCTTTGAACCCATTAACCATCCCCACATACCCTCAGCCCCTCACTACTTTTCCCAGCCTCGGGTAACCATTCTTCTACTTACTATGTCCATGAATTCAATTGTTTTGATTTTTAGATCCCTCAAATAAGTGAGAATACGCAGTTTGCCTTTCTGTGCCTGGCTTATTTCACTTAACATAATGATTTCCAGTTCTATCCATTTTGTTGCAAATAACTGGATCTCATTCTTTTTTATGACTGAATTCGTACTCAATTGTATACATGTATCACATTTGCTTTATCCATTTGTTTATGGACACTTGGGTTGCTTCCAAATCTTAGCTATTGTAAACAATGCTGCAACAAACACAGGAGTGCCAACATCTCATCGATATACTGATTTCCTTTCTTTTTGGTACATACCCAGAAATGAGATTGCTGGATCATATGGCAGCTTAATTTGTAGTTTTTTGAGGAACCTCCAAACTGTTCTCCATAGTGGTTGTACAGTCCCATCAGCAGTGTACAAAAGTCCCCTTTTCTCCACATCCTCGACAGCATTTGTTATTGTCTGCCTTTTGGATATAAGGCATTTTAACTAAGGTGAGATGATATCTCATTGTACTTTTGATTTGCATTTCTCTGATGATCAAAGATGTTGAGCACCTTTTCATATGCCAGTTTGTCATTTATATGTCTTCTTTTGAGAAATGCCTATTCAAATCTTTTGTCACTATTTTGACTGGAGTATTAGATTTTTTTTCCTAGAATTGTTTGAGCTCCTTATATATTTTGGTTAATAATCTCTTGTTAGAGGTGTAGTTTGCAAATATTTTCTCCCATTCTGTGGTTGGCTCTTCACTTTTTTGATTGTATGCTTTGCTGTGCAGAAGCTTTTTAACTTGATGTCTTTCCATTTGTCCATTTTTTTGCTTTGGTTGACGGTGCTTATGGGGTATTGCTCAAGACATCTTTACCCAGGCCAATGTCCTGAAGATTTTTCCCAATGTGTTCTTGTAGTAGTTTCATGGCTTGAGGTCTTAGAGTTAAGTCATTAATCCATTTTGATTTGTTTTTTGTATATGGCAAGTGATAAGGGCCTAGTTTTATTCTTCTGCATATGGATATCCAGTTTTCCCCACAGCATTTATTGAAGAGACTGTCTTTTCCCCGGTGTATGTTATTGGCACCTTTATAAAAAATAAGTTA
Source organism: Homo sapiens (assembly GCF_000001405.40). NCBI lineage: Eukaryota > Metazoa > Chordata > Mammalia > Primates > Hominidae > Homo > Homo sapiens. Next base: position 113,194,536 of record NC_000007.14, read on the forward strand.
ACTGTAGGGGTATGGATTTGTTTCTGGGTTCTCTATTCTGTTCCATTGGTCTATGCATCTGTTCTTATGCCAGTATCATGCTGTTTTGTTTACTAAAGCTCTGTAGTATATTTCAAAGTCAGGTAACATAATTCCTCCAGTTTTGTTCTTTTGGCTTAGGATAGCCTTGGCTATTCTGTGTCTTTATGGTTCCATGTAAATCTTAGGACTGTTTTTTTTTTTTCTGTGAAGAATGTCATTGGTATTTTGATAGGGATTGAATTGATTTGTAGATTGCTTTGGGTAGTGTGGACATCTCAATGATATTTTTTCTTCCAAACCATGAACATGGACTGTCTTTCCATTTTTGGTGTCCTCTTCAATTTCTTTCATCAGTGTTTTATAGATTTCATTATATAGATCTTTCACTTATTTGATTAATTCCTAGGTATTTAATTTTATGTGTGGCTATTATAAATGTTATTACTTTCAAATTTCTTTTTCACATTGTTCTGATTTCACATTGATCTGATTGCTGCTGATTTTTGTATATTGATTTTGTATTCTGAAACTTTACTGAATTTACTTATCAGTACTAATAGTTTTCTTGTGGAGTCTTTAGGTTTTCCCAAATATAAGATCATATCATCTGCAAACAAGGATTATTTGAGTTCTTCCTTTTCAATTTGAATGCCTGTTATATTTTTCTCTTCTCTGATTGCTCTAGCTAGGACTTCCAGTAGTTTGTTGTATAACAATGGTGACAGTGGGCATCCTTGTCATGGTCCAGATCTTAAAGAAAAGTCTTTTAGTTTTTCCCCATTCAGTATGATACTAGCTGTGGGTCTGTCATGTATGGCTTTTAATATGTTGAAGTATGTTCCTTCTATCCCCAGTTTTTTGAGAGTTTTTGCTTTATGAAGAATTGCTGAATTTTATCAAATGCTTTTCCAGCGTCAATTGAAATAATTGTATGTTGATTCATTCTGATATGATGTATTGTAACACATTGATTGATTTGCGTATGTTGAACTATCCTTGAATCCCAAGGATAAATCCCACTTTGTCATGATGAATGATCTTTATAATGTGTTGCTGAATTAGGTTTGCTAGTATTTTGTTGAGAATTTTTGCATCAATGTTCATTAGCAATATTGGCCTGTAGTTTTTTTTCTTTGATGTGTCTTTATCTGGTTTTAGTATCAGGGTAATACTGGCCTCATAGAATTAGTACTCCTCCTTTATTTTTTAGACTACTTTGAGTAGGATTGCTATTACTTCTTCTTTAAATGTTTGGTAGAATTTAGCAGTGAAACCATCAGGTCTCAAGCTTTTCTTTACTGGGAGACTTTATCATGGCTTTGATCTCATTTCTTGTTACTGTTTTTTTTAGGGTTTATATTTTATTCCTGGTTCTTTTGGTAAGTTGTATGCACCTAGGAATTTGTCCATTTCTTATAGATTTTACACTTTATTGGCATATAGTTGCTCATAGTAGCCACTATGAGCCTTTGAATTTCTGCAGTATCAGTTGTAATGTCATCTTTTTCATTTCTGATTTTATTTACTTGGATCTTCTCTTTTTTTCTTAGTCTGACTAAAGGTTTGTCAATTTTGTTAAACTTTTCAAAAAACCAGCTTGTTTTATTGATCTTTTGTATTTTTTTCTCATTTCAATTTCATTGATTTCTGCTCTGATTTTTATTATTTATTTTCTTGTACTAATTTGGGGTTTGGTTTGCTCTTGCTTTTCCAGTTCTTTAAGATGCATCATTAGATTGTTCATTTGAAGCTTTTTTTCTTTTCTGATGTAGGCACTTATAGATATTAACTTCCCTGTAGTACTGCTTTTGCTGTGTCCCCTAGGTTTTGGTATGTTGTGTTTCTGTTATCACCTATTTCAATAAAATTTTCAATTTATTTCTTATTTTTTTTTTGCTCAGCCACTGGTCATTCAGGAGCACATTGTTTAGATTCCATGTATTTGTATAGTTTCCAAAATTTATCGTTATTAATTTCTAATTTTATTCCACTGTGGTCAGAGAAGATGCTTGATATTATTTTATTTTTTGAGTAAAATATGGTCTATCTTTGACAATGATCCATGTGCAAGGAAAAGAATGTGTATTCTGCAACTCTTGGATGAAATGTTCTGTAAATATCGATTAGATCTATTTGGTTTACAGTGCAGACATAATCTGGGAGGCTCTTTGGAGCTCCTCATGGGGGAAAATTTTCTGTCTAGCCAAACAGGCAGCCCTGACTGGTGTGTGGAAACATTGCTGTCAGCTTTACCACTTTCAGTCACAGAAGATACACAAAGGGACAGTAGTCTCAATAATTGTTTAAACACATTTTTAAAGGCCCATTTTTCTTCCTCCATGAAGAAACAAATTTTCTGGCCAATCTAGTGCTAAGTGCCGGAAATCTATATTACGGCATTTTGAGTTCCATTCTAATCTAATTCAATTCTGGTGAAACAAATTTTCACCTGAAAAGCATTGATTTATTTCTCTCTGCAGTGATTCCTTTTTAAAAATGCACTTGAAACTGGGTTGATATATCAACAGGAAGATTCTATTTCTTCTATATTTCTTGGCATCATTGTCTGTACCCAGCAAGAGAATAGCAAGGCTATCTTTGGATTATCTGTGCTTTATATCTAATCTTGTTTGAGATACTTTTTATGAAAAAAGATGAAAGTATGAAAAATGTAAATTTCTTTAGATACTTTAAAGATTGATAGGTCTCTTCTTTTCAACTATATTCACCAGTAAATTTTTTTTTTCTGTTTAGGTATATATAATGTAAGAATACAAATATAAGATAAATAACACGATTTTATGCCAATTCTAGAGTTTATATTATAGTTTCAAATTTAAAATACTTAAATGATGTTTCATGGTTTGGAAGCAATTTTGACCCTACTGCATTCTCAATTTACTGAGTCATTTGTTGAGTAATGACTAAGTGCCAGGCATGATGCTAGGCCTGGGGACTAAGACTTTTTATTTTCAAAGATCTCAAAGGGTAGCAGAGACTGTGCACAAAAGAGAGGCATTTGTGATATAATGGGATAAGTATTTGAGTGGATTTATATTCCATTTTTCCCATATTATGGGTGATATAAAATGTAAGAAAATAACTGTGTTTTAGAAAAAAGATTCGATATGTTTGTCTGGTTCTGATCTTGATTTTCCAGCCAATTAGTAAAATAATCTTGCTGTATTTATGTTCATGCATGGGTGATGTGGGGAATAAAAACAGTCAAATTAGATGGCTATATATATATATATATATATATATATATATATATATATATATGGAGCAGATTTTAGACTATAAACCATAGTATGGGTAAGTTGATGTTAATGTCATAGGTGAGATCTTTGAAAAATGTAGTGGCAATTAAAGAATTTACAGACCACAAAAACCAAACATAATGCAATGCGATATCTGTTTATACAAATCAATTACAAAAATGGTGTTGTATAACAATTTCTAAACAATGACTTATAATTAGTTGCAATTTAAAGTATTCAACAAAACCTTGAAATTCATCAACAATCCTCAGTCCTGCTGAGTGCTTCTGAAATCTCCAACCGTTTTGCTCAAATGAAATAGAAAATTAAAGATGAAAGAGTTATATTTCTAAGAATTGGGCTTAGCTCAGAATGTAACCTTGGTCTATTCCAGTCTAGGTCACACAAATTTGCACTATTGTTTCTGTATAATGAAGAGATCCAAGGTATTTTTCTAATTTTTCAGTGTTGGTGGCAGAAATGGCATGGAGCAAATGTTCACTTCTGAGCAGGAATTACATCAGAAGATCATCTATTTCCTCCTGGGCTTAGCACACACCGTTCTCTCTAAAGTGCAGACCCATCAGCATCCTGTTTTTCTATCCTTTTCTTGGCTTCTCATTTTGGCTTGCTCTTCTTAGTTTAGGCTGCTTGGGACTGAGGTTGCAACACTGTAAAAGGTGGCTTGGGTTTTTAGCTCCACACGAGAAGCTTCCAAATTTCAGTCATGAAGTGTCACTTTCTCATGCTCATTCAGTATCTCAGAGTCACACTGGGTTGGTAAACCTATCCTCATGCTCCACTTGGAAAGGGGAACCAGGGTGAGAAAAACCAATTAGTTTATCCATTAGAAAAACACACCTAATCAATCTAATGTTAATAGCATAGATTATAGACAGCTAAGCCCTTTTACCTACATTATTTCATTTAATGCTCACACCACCTCTGAGATAGGTGCTACACAAATGCCACACTACTACAAAATTCCCATTTTATAGATAACAAAACAGAGGTTAAGAGGTTAAATGCACCACCAGTAATTTTAGGAGAATAATAATACATTTTTATGTAAAAAGTATTTAATAAGCAATGTGCAGTCTAAAGTTTCATCAGTGTCCAAAAATGGAAGGTTTACTGAAATGTTTCATTTAAAAAAGAATATAAATCTTTACTAATATGATATTTTCTATCAAGGCTAGAGAAATATGTTTAGAGAATCCCGCTTTTTGTAGGAAAGAGAAGAAAGAAAAAGAAACTTCATAGTTGGAGTTTCAGTCTGAAATGAAAAAGGGAGAAAAATGAGCCAGCCTTTTCAGAGAAGATTGTTGAAACTTCCTAGGTATAGGACTTGGTGCTGATGAGAGCCTTTTTACCATAGGAACATATGTGGAAAATCAATACTGCAGGTCACAAGCCCTGTCAGTAAATTCCTGTAGTGGAGCAAAGACCACGTAGAAGTGCCAACCAGAACAGATGTCATTCTTAACTTCATTTTCTCAAACAGAGAAATGCTTGCGGATTTAAAATTGGAACAAAATCTTCACATAAGCAATCATGAATTGGCAGAATAAGGGATTCTAAGAGAAGGCCTGGAAAAATGCTGAAAAACGAATAAAAAAAGGCTTAAAAACCTGATTTTGGCAAACATGTGAAATTATAGGACAGACTTTCAATCCATTTTTTTTTAACATTCCTGCAAAGCTGTAGTCACATGTTCTTCATCTCAGGCCCAGGCATGAGCAATGCCCCATGTCAATTCTACTAGGGCAGGGAGTGCATGATAAGCTTGAGCTGCTTGATTGGAATTATGATAGACAATATTTGTGGCATCTAGGGTGACTCTGGTATAGCCCTATGCCCAGCAGATCTCAGTGTCTCCCTGGATTGCCATACCTGCACTGGGACACCTGCCTTGGTTTCCAGCTAAGGTGAGAGCCATTCACTTTTGGCTATGGTCTCAACACATTTCTTGATGCTTGCCATTGAAATGAATCTCATTTGTTTTACTTTGTGCTGCTAGCTGAGGTCTTGTTCAGAGAAAACATATTTTTCATAATTGAGGTAATAATATTTACCCACTTTTGGATATTGTTTATTACTTTGTATCTCCAGACTTACACTCAGATAATATCCTATGATGCTGTTAGAAGTAAGCTAAATTTTGTCGTGACTTTTTCCTTCATGCTAGTTAGTTATTCTCAAAACCAGTTAGTCCCTTCAGTCTGCCTGGCAGAGTTCCCAGTATGTCTCACCATGTTGCTCACATTATCCCGTGGTTCTCATGAGATGGAATTATATTAGAGTGAAAAATTCCAAGGCAATAGAAAAATATTAAGAACATTAAAAATTTAACATTATAGCTCATGATCTAGAAAGGTTGATTTAAGGAAATAATTCAGTAAAGGACAAATGTGTACTTATTAAAAGTATACGTAATGGGAGTGAGGATCTGTGTCTAGTGAAGAATGTAGGGTGAAAAGTTGTGGGGTCTAAACTTCTGAGTGAGAAAAGAGTTGCAACCTAGGGAGAGAAAAATAGAAGTTTCTGAATTTCCAGAAACAATATAGATGATAGAATCATACAACAAATGGGATCTTAGCAGTCGTTAAATAAAATTCATTGCATAATACAGGAATTCCTTTTGTAACACTGCTGATACTGATCATCCGCCCACAACTTGAAATTTTGCAGCTCTGGGGAACTTATTACTGGTAAGTAGGCCACTTTATAGAGGAAAATAATAAATAAATATATATTCTTCTTAGTAAGTGGAAACAGGCCAATAACATGGCACTGAAGATTTTTAATGCTTAAAAAGACTTTAATATTTTTAGCAGGGAGAGCCTAATCTACAGTCTGAACTGGACTGAACATGGCTCTGGGACTCAGGGCAAACATACTACAAAAGGGAAGGACTAATACATATTTTCTAATCAGCTCAGCTACCTACCTCCATTCCAAGGACACTGTTATCCGTTTTTTTGAGACTGTCTAATGGCCAATGCCTAAGATGTGAAAAGGTCAGACTGGAACCCATATTTCTTTCATCATAAAATACAAATTCATATTTCCATATTGTTACAGTATTGCTAATAGTTATTATTATTCAGTAGTCTGCTTTTATCTGGATATTTACCAGCTGGTATTTCCAGTCATTGGTGTCCTAGATATATGGGTAGAGAAGGAAACCCCATTTTTTGCAGAGGGCTGAAGCGTTGCTTAGTTGCTTAGTACATTCTTGAACAGGAGGTGTCTAAGATGTAAGGACTTTTTATTATTAGCCAGAGACTGTCTTACAATAATTAACTCATGTAATTCTTATTTTGACAGATTTCTGACCCACAATATCCTAAAAGAACAATTTATATATAATTAAGCAAGTAAGTGTGATTCCAAAAGAAAATTGTAAAATAGACAAAATTTATATTTCTAGTGAATCATAATAACAAATATTCACTGAATGAATTAATAGTCATGATTATTAGAGTAGAATGAAAAAATGATTTGTATCCAAAAGATTACAAAAATCTAAATTTGAATATATTTAAGAGAAAAAAATGAGTGAAGAAAGAAGGGGCGAAAATGAGAACATGACAATAGATTCTACAAAGCTAGGATGCTCACAAAATCAAACAGAGCAGCAATGACTGGACAGTGATGAATTGATGGTATTTGCAAGGAAAGGATTCTTAAGTAATGATGTCTAGTGAGCTTCATGGGTTTTCTGTGAAAGGTTAGGGATAATAAAACTTCTTAGAAAATTTCACTGAAATCACCATACTGTTGACTTCTGCTTCAACATGATCACACTGGCTACTCTGATTAGGGTACTGTTTATAAAGAAGAGTGTGTATGCCTGTTTGTGCACACATGTGTGTGTGGAGACAATGTGTCTCTTAATGAAGATGATTTCTGCATCTTTTGTACATTTATATTCTATGTCTACTGATATCTTGTTCCAAAGTAGCTGTAGAAATAAAATTAGCTCTTTAATGGATTATATCATCATGGGAAATTAGGAAAATGTCTTTCCTCTTCCCTCTTCTGTAATTCTGCCTCTAACTGGTCATTAGGACACGTTGAGTTTTTTTTAAATATCCATTTCCTCTCCTCCATTGCTGACTGTTCTTAAAGTTTGGTGCTTAATAACCTTTACCATTGCTTTCTAACTTGTTCTCTTGCCTCCTGTTTGTTCTTTCAATCTGTCTTTCATATTGCCTCTGAGTTATCTCCTGAAAAGAGAGATCTGATCCAATGGCCCCCGTTAAAAACAAAAACAACTTATATGGCTCCCCATGGTGAAGAGAATAAAGTTCTGCATTCCCTATTTCAACTATGAATTCTCTAGGATGCATTACTTGACTATGTTTGGTACTAATGTTCTGTGCTCTTAAAGATTTTTGTCTTTTTCCTGTTATAAAACCTTGCCAAAATGTATTGGAAATCCTGATTTACTTATTGACCTACTATGATTATACTGTTGGTCTTGTTTTAAGTTGTATTGCTATTCCCAGTAGTCACTACTATATAGTATATGAAAGTTAAGGGCTGGAACAAATTTGGCTTTAACTTGGCTTAGTTTTCCACTCTATGCCTTTCTGTGCACAGTGCAGTGCACCTGTTCCTCAACACTTCCCAGCACTTCTGGGCTCTTCTCCCTTGGCACACTCTCCATGTAATGTAACCTTCCTGACCCTATATAGCAACACTTCACCTGTCATTGAAGCCAGACCTCTAACTGTACACTCTCTTTCAAGCTTTCTCTGATCTCATTTGTCTTCTTTACTTCTTTGGAATCCAATTGCATGTTCTTTTGGACTCTACCATAGCACTGAACTCTTTCTGCTTGGAAATGCAGTTAGCTTTTAATCTCACATTTTCTCTACTTCTTTGAAAGTTTCTTGAAGATAGATGTGATGCCTAGCTCATCTTTACTGCCTTCATGGCATAGATGAAAAGTGCTAACTTTATGAAGAAGATGCTTACTAAGTATTTTTTAAGTGGTCAAGGGGGTGTTTGATGGATCAGTATTTCCTCATGTGTGTTCTGCAGAAGTCTATTTCTGCAGCATTTCAGTAGGTTTTATATGAAATGGAGTTCTGTGGTCAAGGAGGTTTGGGAAATTCTGTGTCTAACAGAGTCAAACTGTTTTAGTTTTAACTGAGATACTTATTAGAGGCTTAAATGCTGAAGTTTGTCGTTCTCTAATGGTAAAATATTTTATCCAGCATTTCCAAACTTACATGGGCTACAGAACTCTTTATTGACAAACTGCCATGTTACATATAATCCAGTGAGAAGATCTGGCTGGCCCCTGTTTTACAGTTGCAAACAGTTCCAAACTCCAAACTAAATAGCCTTGGAGTTAACTAAGTTAGAGACTAAATCTTTAACTGAGTTGACATATGAAGATGCTCTGATCTTCATGCAGCTATAGCCTTTGACTTTTGAGCTGCAGGAGGCAATATCAGTGAGACTAAGCAGGGCAAGCACTGTTAGAGGATTTTTTTTAACCATTTAGGATGTCTAAATTACAGTTAAGCAGAATGTCTCAATATTATGTAATTTATCCTAGTATACAGGCTATTATAAGGAAATTTTCACAATTAATTTTTGTTACTTGATTCCTCTTAACTTACCCACTTTGAAGACATACATTTTGCATATTTACCATAGCATAAGAGAATCTTGAAGAACAATTTTATAGATGTGCAATTGTGTGGGCTTTATACAAGAAGAATTGCAACTCATTGTTCAAAGTCAAAATGAAACAGGGCTTGATAAGTAGTTTTTCAAAAAGGAAATCATCCTGCTCCAATTTCAACACCCACATCACCCACATCAGTAACATGCATTATAACCTGCTCTGACAAATCACATGATATCAATAATGTTTTAGAATATAATGTATACTCAGTTTTCACTTGGAATCTGCACTAGGAAATAATGGAAGACGTTGCCTTGGGAAAATATACTTCAGTTTCTGTCTATCATTCTCTTCATCTCAAGTATAGTCTTCTGAAGAGCAGAGCTATATCCTTTGTTTCCTTTGCATGCTCCTCCAACTTGAGTGCTGCTCTGTGTACTCAGCAGGTACTCTAAAGACATTATTAGGCTGATGCCCAAGTAAGTAAGTACCTTCATTAAGTTTTAAATGCAAGAACATCTTGATGATAAGGTATGGTGGAGTGTAGGGGTGGTGGTGGGCAGAAGCACCAGCCCCCTGGAGACGGAAAACAAAATTCAAAAGACCTTGATAAGCAAGAAACGAATATAAAGACATTCTCTGGTACACTCAAAGAACAAAAATCACATTGTATAAATGTAAAATGAGTAATAAGGAGCTAGATCCAAGAACCTCAGGGAAACATGGAAAAGTCATCATGAATTATAAGAGCTCCCATGAGTCAGTAATATGGTGCTTTTAAAAACTGAGCATTTTCCCAAGGATATGTTAAAAAGGAGAATAGTAGGCAAGGTTTATGCTTGGAGTACATCTCATGTTAAATGACATACCTAAATGAGATAACCTGAATATATTGTGAGCTAAAGAAATAAAACTCAACTAATATTTCAATTTTGTGAATTTTTCCTGCAAGATTCCTGAAAATATTGTGCCAATTAAGTCTCTTTCTAAATAATGGCAGCATTCACAAGCTCAGATCTCAAATTCCCAAGTATAATATTGGTTACAATGCAGATGAAGTATCCTTTGTGTTCTAACCATGATGAAATGACAACCACCATCCTGGGGAACTATTCCCATGTGAAGAAGAGTGACTGAATTCCTGTCCTTGTAATACTCTGGTAGCATTAGGAGTGGTATTCCCATCCTGTCAAACTGTGTGCACCTCTTTTGCTGAATATTCATTAGATTTCAGTTACACATGCTATGGGATTTCAAAGATCTGTAATGATTGAAAAAATTCATATACCTATTTTGGATAATTCATGTTGAGTATTAAATAGGAAATGAAATAAAAAGATTATTTCTCTTTTATTAACTCATTAAGACTATTGTCTAATACAGTAAAGAATTTTAAATAAAATATGCAACTGGGGAAAACTAAAGCAAACAGAGTTTTGCCATAGCTTTATAATGGTGTGTAAACTCAGTTTGTCACAAAAGGCATTTCATTAGAGGAGAATGTGCACATCAAATATATTCTAAAACTGAGAAGTGGAAATTCCCCATTTTATACAAGGCAATCTAAAAATGTAAGGAAATAGAGATTTTGAGCAATATAACTGATATGTAGATGAGAAATATTTCAACCTTGTACTTCATAAAAGATATACATTTTCAAATTGACCATTATAAAAACCAATTACCCTGCCATGAGGAAGCCCAAACATCTTGTAAAAAGACCCACATCAAGAAAAATGGGAACTCTCAGTCCATAGCTCCATCTGAGCTCTCAGAGGCCAGCTGCCCCCATTTGTCAGTCATAGGAGTAAGCCATCTTGAAAGAGGATTTTCCAGCACCCAGTCAAGCTGCCTACTTCGGGTTAGGCTCTCCAGAAGCAAACACTGAGATGGAGTGGGTAATACAAGTGGGTAGGAGAAATCAACATCTGTGAAAGAAAGAGGAAACGCAGGACCGAGCAGAGGAAAAATCTAAATCGTAATGAAGGTCTGACAAAGCCCTTGCCAACCAGCTATGAAGCTCTGCAGTGGATTTTGCCCATCGAATTTGTTCAGTGTCAGGTTAGAATGAGCAGAACTTTGTATTCCTGCCTTGCTCAGTCATCAGATGAGAGCTGCCCTGGAAAGGATGTGACCTCCAGATGAAGCAGCTCTCTGCATCTAAGACAGATCCCGAAAGGGCTGACAGCTAGAAGTGTCTGCTAACCATACACCCCACACACCCCACAGCTGGACAGCAAGTTTTTCCTTGAAAGGGGAGGATCTTTGTGGTGCATCTCCTTATCTGCCCCACTGCCCCAGCTGATGCTATGTGGAGCAGAGATGAGTTTCCCTGGGGAGTTTTTGTTATACAGCAATAGTAACTGTGATACACCAAAACTTTTCCAAGCTATAAAATGACAAAAAAGTGAAAACTCTAATTTAATTTAGGTATTTATTTATTTGATCTCTGTGTGAGTAAGGATTATTTAGGAATTTATTCGTTTGGTCTCCATAAATAATAGAAAGAATCAAAAAGAAAAAATATCAAGGAATAGACAACTCTTTAGTGAAAAAGTATCATAAAGTTTGAACAACAAATAAGACAATATTTATAACAAAAAATAGGCAAAGAATTTTTATCATATATGATATACTCAGACAAATCAATAAGTTTTAGTACAGAAATAGGCATGTCAGAAAAGAGATATCTATCTCTCTATATAGATAGATAATATACATATAAAAACTGCTCAATCTTGTGAATACATAAAGGAATACAAGTTAAAACTAAAATAATCATCAGTTTGATTTACAAATAAACAATATTAAAAGAAAGTGTTAATGTTTATGTTAAGGTCATAAACATAAGGTCATATGATGTGCAATAAGGTCATTCACATTAGCAGTGGAGGAAGGAGAATTTCATCAGACCCTTTTAGAAAGCATCTTGGCAATAGGCATTGTGAGGCCTGTTGTGGGATGAGGGGAGTGGGGAGGGATAGCATTAGGAGATATACCTAATGTAAATGACAAGTTAACGGGTGCAACACACCACCATGGCGCATGTATACATATGTAACAAACCTGCACATTGTGCACATGTACCGTAGAACTTAAAGTATAATAAAAAATATATAGAGAGAAAAAAAGAAAATGATCAAAAACAAGTCATAAAATATAAATGCAAAAGGAAAAGTTATAAAATTCTATGTTCTCTCCCATCCAGTAATTAAGTTTCCCAAACTCTACCTTGCGTAAATATTCTGAAAATATGGCCAGTATTTTTGTATTAAAATGTTTATTCTTTTATTTTTGTTAATAGCCAAATAAGGGGATAGTTGTAGTAACTGATGAGATAGAATGTTATATGGCCACTAAGCATACTGTTTTCTAAGAAATTTTAATGGTGAAAAAATGTTTATTATGTTCAAAAATGTACATAGACTCTATATACAATACAAATCCAACTATGAAAAAATATATATGTGTTTGAAAATGTGGCGACGTGTCCACAGTTGCTTCTCCTAGGAAGTTGTTCAAATAGTATTATTAATTTCTACCCACTTTGGACAGAGTTATTTCTCTTCAAATTGCCACCTTAATACAAGGCATTAATGTCTTTACTCTCAGTTCAGGGAATGTACAAGTGTCCCAGACTATTGGATAGAGTGGTTCCCATGCAATAATTTTCAAGAAATTCACTCTCAAGCACTTTTAAGTGCTGAGCTTCTTTCACTCACCTTTGGTTGTTGTGGCCAAACATCCCTTTCTTCTGCTGAGTCTCCTTTCTTTCCATAACTTCCTCTCTGGGACAGCTACTCCTCTGCTTTCTCTTATTCCTCTCTTTCAATCATAGTTTTCTGCCCTGAACTGTGTCCAGACAAGGTTAGAATTATCTTTAAATCTTTGTTTCTGCTCTAGTGTGATCTTCAGTTTTTATTGAGTGTGACAAAGTAGATGATATAGGAAATATACATAAAGTGATTTGGGCTAATAATTCTTTGGCTTGACTTATCCACATTATTGTAGGAAGACTTAACGCTGGCTAGAGGAGACTAGATGAATTAAAAATCCCTTCTACTTGACATCCTGTAGTTCTGAGAACTTTTGGGAAGGAAAGTACATTATATTTAACTTGTAAGACAGTTTGTATTCATGGAATCCACAAAGTTCTAGAAAAGTATGAAGTTACACTGAAGATTTGTCATCAGAGGTGTAGAGAAATGACTCAATCGCCTCATGAGATCTGTGTGTTCAGTTTTTATTTTTCCTAATCTGTTTAATGGCAGAAGTGGGCAGTGCCATGGTCTCTTACACTACTAAAAACTAGTGTTAAAAAGTAATGCTAAAAGTAGTTTATCCTTACTCAGAAAATTCTCCGTTTGACAAAGACTTTTTTTGAGAGAAAAAGAGATAATGTATCTATGGATGTCTCAAGGGTATTTTAGGTACATTCAATGACTGCACCATCCTCTAAAGCACCTCCCTGCACTTGATTCTCTTCCAATAAAGGAGAAAATCAACAGAAGCAAAGTTGACAGCCAAAAAAAAAAAAAAAAAAAAAAAAAAAAAAAGTCACGCTGCCTGTGACAATGTATCTGGGACACAAAGCATTGACCTTGAAGCACTGGTCCATTCATTTGTGAATGATTTAATCACTAGGACCTTTTAACATCTGGGTCATTGCTCCATGGCATGTGATCCCATGGATCTCCCTTGCTCCTGTTTTCTCACATCTATCTTTATTACTCATCAAAAGGAAACTCGAGATCTCCACTTCTATGAGTATTGGCTCAATCTTACATAGGGAAGAAGTGGGGGAAAAATTGGGAACTAAAGAAATTATCAAACCATTATTCATAGGTGAAGTCTACTGAAAAATATTCTCTAATTATTAAACTCAAAATATTTTCTACATATCTGTTATGTAAATATTATTAAACAACACTTATTTAGAAATCCAGAAGAAAAATGACACCCTAGCTGGGGTAGTTGGGAATGTGGATAAGAAGAAAGAGAAGTTTATATCAGGGAGGCTACTGAAAATTGGTCTTATAATTATAGAAGAAAAGAACCATACCTTCTAGAGATAACACAATAAAAGGTGTGTGTGTGTGTGATGAGTTAGTGTTTGTTGTTATGACCATAATAAACTGAATTATTTGAAATTCATTTATCTGTTAAAACAAAAGCAGAACATAACAGGTAAAAACCTTAGTATGGAAATATTAAATCTCAGTACAAACTAGTAAATTTGCATTGGGAGAATGAGATTCAGAAAGAGAAAAAGACCCTAATTGAAATTGTTTTATTTAAATAAAAGGAATAAAAATAAATTTGTGCTTGATTTGTTATGCATTAATAATTAGCAAGTAATATGTGCTAGAATTGTTATGTTAATTTAAATTATATTAAAATAATTCAATTCCTTGTAAAACATTAAAAAGAGAGCATGATCTATATTTTAAAGCCATATTAAAAGGGGGTGACATATGTGAAAAGAAAAACTTGAAGGAAAATAACAGAACATTATGAAGACTATGTAGAAATACTGAAAATGTTTGAGTAATGCTGAGTCAAACATAAGAAATTGAATATGTGTGGATTATATAATTGATGTAAATATAAATTCATGTGGCAGACGATATGTGAACATGTTAGGACAGTGGCATTAATACTATTGCTATTATTATTAAATTATTTTAAATATTATCTTATTTTAAAACTATCCCTCCAATGCTTTATCGTGAAGAGTCAAATACTTTTATAATTTTTTTGAACTAATATGTCTTTGAATAAAATGCCAGGAAAATTTTGCAAAGAAAACGTTATATTTTTGTTTGTAAACAACTTTAACAACCTTGCTTTATTTTTGATATCTAATAACTAACCATTTCCATAAAAGCATCACCTATAAAATTAGTTTAATGATGATGTGTACTGATCTATGATAGAATTGAATTATCGTTCAGATAATTATCAAAGTGATTATATTTCATGACTTAAAAAAATCTTTAATAATCTTGTATATTTTTTTCATTTGGCATCATTGCAACATCACTAGAATGATGTGCCTCCTCTTGGAGTTGTTTCAACATATGTTGTATTTCCCATGACTTAGTACTCAACATCTAGTTACTGGAGCAGAAATGGAAAATGCCATCAAAGATAGCTGAAAAGGCTTATTTTCCTTGAATTTTTCCTGAGGACAAGGATGACTCGTATTATTTAATGTTGTTCATGCTACTAATGCCACAGCCCTGGTAAACCAAAGCATTAAAGGTTCCCTCCAGCCACAGGATGCATTGTAATAAGAAGAGGCAGCAGGATTGCTCAGTCATGTGATGATCCCATCCCATTTCAGCAGCCTTAGGGAATGTTGTGCCCCTGGTGAGATCCATAGATCTGATTGATTAGAAATTGTCTCTGTCTAGACTTAGTTCTTGGTGGAATATATTTTCCTTGTAGAGGAACCATTTTTCCAGTTCTGTAATGGTTTTGAAATGATCAATTTGTAAATGAGGAAGAAATGTAGGTAGTGAGTAACATTCATGTTGTTGAGTCATGATTAATTACCTCATAATCCCAGTATTTCTAATGCTGCATTTAGCACACAGTAATCATTGAAATAACTGGGACTGTGCTGATGATATGCAGAATTTTAAGTAATCCATGTTGGACTCTCAGTGAAATTTCAAATCCAAAAATGATATGAAAATGGAATGTAGTTAAAATAGATAAAAATAACATTAGCTCTTTTAACCCTATTTATAATCCTGTGGGTGGAACTAAGCTGGAGGCATTACACTATCTGATCTCAAAATATACTACAAAGCTATAACAAAACAGCACAGTCCTGGCATAAAAACAGACATATAAACCAATGGAACAGAATAGACAGCCAAGATATGAGTCTATGGATTTACAGTCAACTGAAGGTGCCAAGAACACACAATGGTGAAAGGATAGTGTCTTCAATAAATGGTGTCAGGAAAACTGGATATCCATAAGCAGAAGAATAAAATTAGACCCCTCTCTGATACCATACACAAAAATCAACTCAAAATAAGTTAAAGACTTAAATGTAAGACTGCTAGAAAAAACACAGGGAAAAGCTTTTTGACAATAATTGGGCAATAATGTTTTGGATATGACCCCAAAAGCACAGATAACAAAAACAAAAATGGACAAATGTGATTATATCAAACTAATAAGCTTCTGTACAGCAAAGAAAACAATAAGCAGAGTGAAGAGACAACCTACAGAATGTGAGAAAATATTTGCAAGCCATACATCTAATAAGGGGCTAACATATAAAGTACATAAGGAACTCAAACGATTCAATAACAAGGACACAAATAACCTAATTTTGAAATAGGCGAAGCACCTTGTCTCAGTACATTTGTGCTGTTACAACAAAATACCATAGCTGAGTAACTTATAAATAATGTAAATTTATTTCTCACAGTTCTAGAGGCTGGGAATTCCAAGATCAAGGAGCTGGCATTCAGAGTCTGGGGAGGGCCTTCTAGCTGTGTCTTCGGCATGGCAATAGGTGAAAGGGTGTAGCTCATTTCCTCCAGCTCTTTTATAAGGCGCTAATTCCATTCATGAAGCCAGAGCTGTCATTCTCTAATAACCACCTAAAGGCCCACCTCTTAATACTACTGTGTTGGGGATTAAATTTCAATATGAAATTTTGGAGATGACACAAACATTCAAACCATAGCCTTCCACTGCTGGTCCCCCCAAATTCATGTCCTTCTCACAAAGAAAATACATTCATTCCATTCCAATAGCCTTAGAAGTCTTAAGTTGTTCCAGTATCAGCTGAAAAATCTAAAGTCCAGAGTCTCATCTAAATATCATCTAAATCAGATATGGGTGAGACTCTAGGCACAATTCATGCGGAGGTAAATTGCTTTCAAGTTGTGAACCTGTGAAGTCAAACAGGTTATGTACTTTAAAATACAATGATGGGACAGGCACATGATAGACATTTCCATTTTAAAAGGAAGGAACAGGAAAGAAGAAAGGGGTAGCAGATACCAAGTAAGTTCAAAACCCAGTAAGGCAAATCATAGTAAGTCTTGAGGCTTGAGAATCATCTTCTTTTTTGATTCTGTGCCCTGCCTATCTTACACTTGAGGGTGGAGGATAGGCCCATAAGGCTCCAAGTGGATGAATATGTAACAAAAATGTACATTCTGGAGATCTATTTGACAGCATAGTGGCTACAGTTAGTAATCATGTATTGTATACTTGAAAAATGCTGAGAACAGATCTTAAATATTCTCACCACAAAAAAATTAGTATGTGAGGTGATGGATATATTAATTAGCATGATTTAATAATTTCTTAATGTATACATGTAGAAAAACATCATGTTGCATACCATAAATACATACAATTTTGTAGAACCTGAATATTCTTTCTTCTCCCTGCTAAAATAGGCTCTATCAGGACTGGCTGAGCTAGTAAGGTCTCTTGCAAAAATCAGGAGCATCTACATTGAGCTATAAAAATGGAAAATAATTAGATCTGTTGAGCAAATATCATTTTTGTAATATAAAAAATAAATACTATGAATGACACAGGTTTGATACTCAGGCAAACTGAACAAAGTAGAAAAACCAGGTCAATTGTTTAATTAAATTTAAAATAAAAGTGCATTACTAGACAAAATAGGTAGAAGCTGGACTAATGATTTCTCAAGTTCTTCCATGATAAGAGCCAGTGTTATAATGAGGAATGAAGGCCTTGACAGTCCACATGTGGTAGGCTGAATAGTGGTCTCCTAAAGATATCTAAATTTCAGTCCCTACAACCTGTGAATGCCGTGTTAGATGACAAAAGAGACGCTGAAGGGTTAATATCCAGAATATAGAAAAAATTAATGCAACTCAACAAAATATCAAATAACTTATTTAAAAAATGGGCAAAAGATTTGAATAGACACTTCTCCAAAAATGATACACAAATGGTCAGCAATCATATGAAAAGATGCTCAACATCCCACTAATCATCAGAGAAATACAAACAAAAACAATGAGATACCACTTCACACCCATTAGGACAGCTACTATAAAAAAATGGAAAATAAGTATTGGCAAAAATGTGGAGAAATTGGAACTCTTATGCATTGTTGGTGGTATTGTAAAATGATGCAAATGCTGTGGAAAGCAGTATGGAGGTGCCTCAAAAAAATTAAAAGTAGAACTACAATATGATTCAGTAATTCCACTTCTGGATATAGACCCAAAAGAATTGAAAGTAGGACCCCAAAGAGATATTTGCATACCCATGGTTATAGCAGTGCTATTCACAATAGCCAACCCAAATATCCATCAATGAATGGGTAGATAAATGTGATACATACATAAAATAGGGTATTATTCAATCTTAAAAAGAAAGGAAATCCTGTCACAAGTTACAACATGGATGAACCTTGAGGGGATTGTGCTAAGTGAATAAGCCAATCAAGACATATACTGTGTGATTCCACTTATATGGGGTATCTAAAATAGTCAAAGTCATAGAAACAGAAGCAGAACAGGCAAGGAAGAGGTGGGAAAAGGGAGTTTAATGGGTATAGTGTTTCAGATTTGCAAGATGGAAAAGTCCTGGAGATCTGTTTAACAACAATGTGAATATAATCAACACCACTGAATTGTACATTTAAATTGGTTCAGGTGATAAATTTAATGCTATTTTTTTGCCACAATAATTTTTTAAAAGGGACTTTGCAGGTGTGATTATGTTAAGGATCTTGAGATGGGGAGGGTAGCCTGGATTATCCAGGTGGACTCACTCTAATTACAATGGTCCTTACAACAGGGAAGCAGCAGATCAGAGTGAATAGTAGATGTGATTACAGAAGCAAGAGGTTAGAATAATGTGGCCATGAGCTAAAGAACGCAGCTAAGGAATGTGGCTTCTAGAGGTTGGAAGAGGTAAGAAATGGATTATTTCGTAGAGCCTCCAGAATGAACCAGCCAGCCCTGTAGACACCTTGACTTAAGCTCTATCAATTTTATTTGGAACTTTGACATTCAGAAGTCAGACTTTCAGAATGAGAGAATAAATTTGTCTTGTTTTAGCCATTAAATTTGTAATAATTTGTTGCAGCAGCAGTAGGAAACTAATGCACCATATAAGAGCTCCAGGAAAAGGTAGACAGAAGCCTTTGAGCTGAGTCCTTGGAGGCTCTAGTCTAGAGAAAGTAGACATGGTGTCCTTTGATGTATAAAGAAAAGGGCCAACTTAAAGCAAGGTAATAATAACTTACTCTTTGTTGCTTGGAGGAATAGATTGATCTAAATAATGGTGAATTTTCTCTTCCTCTGTGATAAACCTGTAACCTATAAGCCTTGGCAACATCTATCATGATTTCTAAATATCACAACTAACATCCAAAACCACCACACTTTTATCAAAATAAATACAAATTTTACCCTTTCCATAAATATGATCATCCAGATTGGATAAAATATGATTTGATAGTGCTAACCCAAATTTAGAATTATTTTATGTAATTAAGTTTATGCTGATAAAGTCTGAAAGTTATGATAACTGTGCACTGTTTTCTTTCAACTGATCAATATACCCAGAGAAGACAAATATTTTAACTTAAATGGTTTATCACTAGCCTAACTGTGTGTATGCATTCAATAGGAAAAAAATAACTTTTCTATTGCCATGCAAGTCTTCCTATAATGAGAAACATTAGGAGTTGAATAGAGCTAGATTTTGTGCAACCATTGGCCCAAAATCGCATATAATATTGATGGGAAATATGTATATGGCTGTTGCATTAGCAACATATATATATATAATCCATATATATATAGTTTTGAGAACATATATATATATATATATATATATATACAGTTTTGAGATTCTTTTGCTTTCAAAAATGTGAATGTCTTATTTTATGAGGCCAATTAATACTTCACAGTCTGAGTAGTAAAAATAAAAATAGTCAGGAAGGGGCAAAAGATTAAGTAAATATGTTGCACAGGTCCCTGTGTTGGGAACATAATGTAGTTATTAATGAATATTGCTGCTTGACCCAACAGATTTAGTCTGTTTTATCTTGCATTTATATTATAGAGTAGCAAATGCTTTTATTCCACTTCCAAGGCAGAATAAGCCTCAAACGCAGAACCATAATATTGAGCAGATGATTAAAACCATTAGCTAAAATCTTTTATGACAAAAAGATGAAATGTACTAGATAATGACACAGGAAACATAAAAATGCTGTTTTTATAAGTGGGGACATTTTACCTTCTTTAAATATGATTCAAGGTTTTTCTTTCTTTTGTTATTAAATAATTTCATTATTATCTATATTTGCACTTTGACAGCTTATTTTTTCCTCTTTGCTATATTTAACTTCGTTAGGGGGGTATACATTCACCAGTCTTTTGAATAGTATACAGCATACAATTAATATACTTCCTGTTAAGACAGAAAAAATGCACTACAGCTGGCTTTCTTGAGAGAACGTTCACACATATATACAGTCTTTTGAAGGATACATTTCATAAAGACTCTTGCATTTTGTGTTACATTTATTAAGGCTCCTTGCATAAATTTTCATAATTTCACATTTTATTAGTAATTGCCATTTCTATTTTTCTAGTCTCATCTGAAACATACTTACCATTTCCATTAGAAAAAAAGTCTAATTTCCTAACAATACAACCAAATACTATAAGAGCTTGCAGCATCAATGGAATGAGCATGCCAGCTCCCTTCTTCCCATAAGATGACTCTAAAATATGACTTTTAATTTCCAAAGTCTTGGGATAAAATTGAGACACAGCCTGTTTCTCTTTAGGTGCTGAAAATTTGAAATTTATTTCTAATGAATACTTATCTCAATCAAATACACCCTTATCAAAAGTATTTATAGCTCTTGTAGGGTTCAGTATGTAATGATTCCACCATTAGACTTACAAATTCATACTTCTTACCTCAATACATGAATCACACTTGGATGTAGCAAGATATCTGAGTCTAATAGTTTTAATCTCAAACCATAACTTTTTAGCATAGAGTATATTTTCCCTGCAACAACTAAAAAAATCTATTAATATCACACACAGTGATATCAGTTTATTAATAAGTAATTATCTGAGAGCCTATTACATGGTAGGCACTAGTAATAAAGAGGATTCTTACCCTGAGGGACCTGAGCTTCCAGCAGAGAGAAGGAAAAGTCATGTAAAAAAACAAACAATAATTTCAGATAATGATAGGTGCTTTCTAAGACGACAAATACGGTGATTTAAAGCGTGACTATTGGGGGTTGGGGGATGACTGCTGATATGGGCCAGGAAACATTTCATCAAGGAGGTGGAAGAAGAACCCAGCTGTGTTCTTCTCAGTGGAGGAAAAAAAAATGATAGTCACACAAATGTCTGGGGAATGGAGTTCCATGCAGGACTAGCAAGTGCATAGACTCTGAGATGGAAAAGGAAATCCATTAATTCTGGAGCTTTATACTGAAAATTTGGATAGCAATGAAGTCGAAGAAGAAAGCAGAGACAGGTTATATGAGGCCATGTAAATCACTGTATGGAGTTGAGGCTGTAAGTATATTGGGAAGCTATCAGAGATATTCAAGCAGGTGAATAATAGATCTTAATTTCACTTTAGGAAGATGATGCTGACAAGATTTCTTTTACTTGTTCCCCTTCTCATTCACTAGCTTGCCCAGGACCATCAATTTTTTCTCTACCATAACCCCTTTTATGCATCTGCTCCTCTCCATTCCCAATGTCACTATTTAAATTCAGGCTTCTATTTTTATTTTCTTGAGCTACTACTATAAAGTACCAACTTGCCTCCTTACCTCCAGTCTTTTGGTTTTCTGATCAGTTCTGATTTCTCCTAGCAGATTCTCCTGACTTAAAAACTCATCGACCTCCTAATGCTTAAAAATTAGCTGAAGTATCCCTATGTAGAAGGTTTCCAGAAAGAAGTCCTGTATTTGTACTTCACTTATCTAGAGGTCTGGCAAGGTGGGCTTAGTGTTGTTAGATTTATTTGAGGAACTGAGTTTCCCAAAGAAAGAGATTCACTTTTAAAAAGATAATTTCTTGATGATTTGTTTGAATTCCTTCTAGATTCTTGCTGTCAGTCCTCTGTCAAATGTATAGTTTGTGAATATTTTCTCCCATTCTGTAAGTTGTTTATTGGGTACAATGTACACTATTTGGGTGATGGGTGCACCAAAAACCCAGATGTGATTAGTATAAAATTCATCCATGTAACCAAGTCACTTGTACCCCTAAGTCTATTGAAATTAAAAATAAAAAATAATTTCATCCCACTAGCTTGGTCCAAAAATATGGGGTGAATGCTGGAGATGAAGGGTGATTTTGGATATAACGTATACATGCTACTTGGGTTTCTTTTTAGCCCAGCTTCGTGAACTAAAGCAATGTTTTTTGGGAAAATTGTCCTAAGTAGAGATTCTTAAAGGAAAAATGAAAAAAACATGCAACAGTACTTTGTGTCCTCACAAAAGGTATACCATGACCTACTCTCTTATTTAGAAAATCTGTGGATCTCAAAGACAAATCTTGGTAACAAAAGTGAAGTTACCTAAGCACTCTAGACAGATTAAACAACAAGTTTCTCCCACTATTGAATGGAGAAAACCATCAGCATCCGTTTAGCATTTATTGGAATAATCTCAATAGTTTCAGCTTTAACTTTACCAGATACAAGCTTTCTTCAAATCTGCACTAATCTTGTACAAATCAGTGACTTATTCAGGGCACAGTTTGGCTATTAGTGGAAGTTAACACAGACAGGCCTGCAGATAAGTGGGTGATAGTGTAAAACACATCGTGCTGTGGGTTTATATTACAGCAATTAATCCAGAGTCTGAGAGGAACACAAACTCGTACCTTAATATCATCCCTCACTCAAAATCACTCATTTAGCTCATTTGGGAAGCCTTGTCACTGCCTGAAAATAAAGGAGTACAGATGAAAGTTGCCACATCCTGTGGAGAAGAGGCAATTATCCTTTATTTGGTTTCCAACTTCCCTTGTAAATGTGCCAGCAGATAAAGTGTTGGTGTGAGTTCAGGGCTGTTAGAATTTTTTTTTTTTTCTCACCACATGAGTCAATCCTGTTCTTAGGCTTTATTTCCCAGTGATGGCTGTGTACCGAGCAAGTGTTATCTTCCCATGTTTATGTCTCCACGACAAGAATTTACCATTTTAAAATAAAACGATCAAGTTGGTGGACTGATGGCTTTTGTGATCACACCACAAATTTTACTTACTTGTTTTCAGTGTTGAAAGTGATTGATGAAAACAAGTGATTACTTGTTTTCAGTGTTGAAGACTGGTAGTTTTAATGTTTTCCCTTGGGATGTTGGATTCCAAGTATGACAAGATGGGGGATCTTCTTCCTCAATCTCTGTCTTTCAAGGACCCTGTACTCACTCCTGGTTGTCCCCACAGGAGTGCTGAAGCATGACTGCAACAGACTTGCAGTTGTGCAGGAGATCCATTCAGCCGCACAGAGATGACCGGAAAAATGGCTGGCGCAGGGGAGTCCCGGGTAAAGAACACGGAAGTTTGAATCAGAAATGGAGTCATGACTATGCCGGTTACTAAGCAGTTTTATATATCATTGAGATTACTTCTTTTTTTTTTATTGCAGTAAAAAACACATAACATAAAATTTACCCTCTTAACCATTTTCTCATTGTACCGTTCAGTATTGTTAAATATATTCACATTTTTGGCAGGGTGCTGTGGCTCACGCCTGTAATCCCAGCAGTTTGGGAGGCCGAGGCGGGCGGGTCACGAGGTCAGGAGATCAAGACTGTCCTATCCTGGCCAACATGGTGAAACCCCGTCTCTACTAAAAATACAAAAAATTAGCCGGACTTGGCGGCGCTTGCCTGTAGTCCCAGCTACTCAGGAGGCTGAGGCAGGAGAATTGCTTGAACCCGGCAGGCAGAGGCTGCAATGAGCCAAGATCACACCATTGCACTCTAGCCTGGGCGACAGAGAGATACTCTCTCTCTCTCTCTCTCTATATATATATAATATATATTATATAATATATGTAATATATGATGTATAAATATCATATATTACATATATTATATAATATATGTAATATATGATGTATAAATATCATATATTACATATATTATATAATATATATAATATATGGTGTATAAATATCATATATTATATATATTATATTCTACATATATTTTTTACTATTTTTTACATTTTGTGCAATGGATCTCCAGAACTCTTTCATCTTGCAAAACTGAAACTCTATATCCATTAAATAACTCCTCTTTCCTCCTTCCCCCACCTTCTGGTAACCACCATTCTACTTTCTGTTTTTATGAGTTTGACCACTCTAGGTACCCTATATAAAAATAATCATACAGCATTTATCTTTTTGTGACTTGCTTGTTTCACTCAGCATAATGTCCTGAAGTTTCATCCATGTTGTAGCATGTGACAAGATTTACTTTCTTTTTTAAGGCTGAATAATATTTCACTGTATATATATATACACACACATACATATATATGCTACATTTTGTTTATTCATCTATTGAGATTACATTTTATTATCTTCAAAATGAAAACTAATAAATCATTTTTACCTCAAAGAATCGTTGTTAACATCTAGTGTAAACTACGTTTGTCACTATTATATTGGAAAGTTATGCTTTAGATGTATTGACCAATGATTCATTAAATCTGAGTTCTATCCTTGGCTCTGCTATTCATTTTCTGACTATATACCAACAGTCTACTTGCTCTGGGGCCACAATGTACTACAGTCTACTTGCTCTGGGGCCACAATGTACTATCTGTAAAATCATATTGTCTTAACTACTGAAGAGGACTGCAGAAAGATGAATAATGCAGATTCATTCCTCAGAGTAATTTATTCCTCAGTTATTCCTGGAGCCCAGGTGCTCAGTCCTTATCATCTCTGAGATTACTCAGGAGAGAAAGCTGTAATCTTACAGAGCCTTGGTCTCCTAATCTATAATATTGATTGAAGCTAAACAAGCTCCCCCAAATTACTGAACTTTAAAACCACCAATTTAAAAAAACCTCTAGTGATAAACATATACATTGTACATCCTCTTCAACATTATTTTGATATTTAAAAAATACTATGTGTCTAAAACCAAAATGCTGTATAATTTTAGAACCTGCTTTTTCAAAACTATATTCCAACCACTCCCTCCTCTCTGTCAAAGTCTAATGATGACACAGATGCTGCCCATCTCATACCCTCAAAATATCCCATAGAATTGCACTGGATAAGCACTAAGGCCCATTTGAAAATTCTATGATTTGAACTTTTGAATTTTTAGGTAATTTTCCATTGCATCGGTTCTTCTGGTGTTTTCAGGATCTGTGCCAAATGCGAGGCTGCCCTTGCCACTAAGGACTTCTAACATTGCAACTATCAAGATGATGATGAACTCATCAACAGATGGAGAGAGACTGCTGTATTTTGAAGGACTCTGGATAATAAATAGGTAATACTGATAAATCTTATACTTATTTTTGTTTAAAGTGGGAAAAAAAAAGCAATGGTAGCAACTTTGAAAGTGACAGTCTAAGAATTATACTGATTGGTTAAGCACCTGATTATTGAATGATTGAGCCATGGGAGGCAAGGAACAGAGATACAGAAGTTTGCTGAATCCTCTTCCTCCCCAACCCAGAAAGCCACTAGGGCTTAATCACCTTGTCACAAGGTTGTCTAAGTCCAGACTTGTATTGGAGATGTAATGGGTGAAGGTTATCAAGGGAATGTGAAATGGAAAACTTGGCAGAATAGAATGAACTTTCTGATTACCATTAGAATTTTTTTAGATTGACTTTCAACATTTCAGGTTAAGCTCAATTAGAAAAAGTTGAATTTCTCTAAGGCAATGTTTAAGATGTAACTATCTCAGAATAACTTGCTAATTTACATATTTATAGTACTTTGATTTAACAGTACTGAAAACTTTTAAATAAAAATCTAAGCACTTAACAGTATGTGAAGTATGAGTTATGTCTTATTGTGAATATCTAAATGTATTTTCAGCAAGAATCCTGCACATAATGGCATATATAACTTCTTTATATATGTAAAATCAAAACTATTTATTTATTCTATTGATAAAAATTAGTTATTTATATTATTTGGTGTTATTAATTGAATAAGCAACTTTGAAAAAAATGGGCTAGTCAGAAAGTATGCTGACAAAACAGAACAGAAGCTACAACAAAAAACTTTAAGAGATATTTTGGACAAGGCATTTTATCTTATCTAGATGTAATCGCTATTCTTAGTATAGTGCCTAATATTATAAATGATGAGAAGGTTAACTAAAAACAATTGAAATAGAGTAAAATTTTGATGTGCATATATATTCTTATTTTGAACTTAAAGGTATATTCGATTTTTATTAATAGAAAATTAGTTTACTTTTGTTCTTTTAAAGTAAATATTTAAATAATATCAGTTTGAAGGAGTGCCAAATTATTGGTTGGCTCTGAAGGTTAATATATTTCAGTCTGATTACAAGGACATCTTATGGAATTCCTATAGCTTTGCCTGTACCTGAGACACCTGCTGATTAGGCAGTCACAAAGAAGTACAGATGAAGGAGTGATTAATCTGACCTGGGAGTAAAATTGGTAATTCAGGAAACCTCAACAGAAGACATATGGTTAAACTTAGTTTTGAATCATGGTATGGTGTTCACCAGGCAAAGGGAGGAAGTCTATCATAGAGGATGCAATGTTAGTCCAAGGCACAGCAGTGTGGTTTGTTTGGAAAACTGACAGTGTTTCAGTGTGAACATAAAGATGAGGCAGATTAGAGGTCAAGACAGAAGATCCTCAATGCTTGATGAATCAGAGGTGGAAGGAGAAAATGGGGTCAAAAATAATACTAAGATTTTCAAGTCATATTCATTTGCTCTTGAACCATTTTTGATTGCTATGTACATGGGTACTACAACATTTTTAATAATAATCTTGTAAAAAGCACCTACAAACAGGAAATCTGTTACCAAACCTTAAGGAGAAAAAACAAGAGTATTTATAAGAATGAAAATAATTATGTAAAAAATCTCTTCCTGAGAGAAAAGCAAAAAATCAATTAAAAAAAAAGATTACCTCATTTAACTTTGACATTTTTGCAACGTTAGAAAGAGATACTTTTTAAAAATATGGCTATTAACAAATCCTGCTCTAATCTAGGGAATATAAAATCAACCACCAAACCTCTTAGTGCTTTACTCAATTGTGTGTGCGTGTGTGTGTATGTGCATGAGAGAGAGAAATGAAAGAGATATATTTTAGAAATATTCTTTTAAGAAGGAGATAGGCAGATATAACATGCATAATCTGCACAAGGTTATAAACTTCATTGTGTATAAAAATGCATAATTATTTGGTTAGGCTATAAATAGCAGAAGTATATAAACAACCGAATTTATTTAGAAAAAATACATATTTGCACCAATGATATGAAGTCAAAGACAAATAGAACTAAGTACACTCTAATTGTTGTTTCTTCAGTGATAATACCAGATATAACAAGAGTTTCTTGCTCCCTCTCATTTCCTGGTAAAAGAGTACAAACCATCACCACTCCATAGACACACTTAAAATGCCCTCAACTATTTCTGCAAATCCCCAGAGATAATCTCATGAGTTTTCCTGAATCGATCCTCTCAGTCACTGCATAGAGTCACTATATTTCTTCTTCCTTTGGCCCATGTTTCTTTTGGAGATGTCACCAAGATGATTTACAATGGTGTGTTGCCCTCTCTCTGGTTCTTGAGTTGTCTCCTATTGCTTCTGCTAATCACCACTGTGCAAGATTTCTCTGGACTAAAGTTATTCTATTCAAGAGAGGAGGATACTCTGAAATGCACACGCATCTATATGCCACACCTTGTCAAGAAGGTCCCAAATATATGCCAATAGTATTCTCAAAGATTTGCTTACATCATGTGCAAACCACTTTTTCAGCAACTGTTTGAACATCTATCTCTCTTACTTGGGCTTAAATAAGATTTCATGGGTGCTGGCCGGGAAGATCTCAGTCTACTTAACACAGGACTTGCACTTTTTGCTAATCTTTTTCTTGTCTTTGAATTGAAGCTTAGCATTCACAAACAGTTGTTTAATTTTAAACTCTATAACAATCCTATGAGGTAAGTAGGATGGATATTACCACCATTTTATAGACCAGAAACCTGAAATTTGAAAAGCTGCATTTACTCAGCAAGTAAGTTACAGAGCAAGCACTTAAGTCCAAGTTGTCTGAGCCTAGAATCAGTGCATTATGCTCAGCTGTCTCCGTAAAGATGGAGATGTGGTGCATATCAACTGCCACCTCTATTGCTTAATAACTGTGATCAATTTTAGAACAACATCCCACCCTTAATGAGATTGGATTCCCCTCACTGCATGTAAGCATCTCATCAAAGCCATGATTCCTCTCTCCAGAAAAATGCATATCAGTGGGCAGCCCCATGCATGCACACGCTTTACATACTTTTGCAAGTTGTTACAAGGGTTTTTAAAATATCCCGAACCTTAAAGTCCCTATTCAAATGGACAACTGTCTTGTAGATGCTGATTCTGTCCTTTAAGGCCAGTTTTATAAAAGAGGTTTTATTATGTGTATTTTAGTGCTAATGCTGTATGTTCTTTTGATTTCAAAATCTTTTACTCAAGGCATATTTCCTTTTAAAAGATTTATTAAAAATGCATAAAAGTAATTGGGTCTATGTGGTAAAGAAAAGTTTGATTGAAACACTCAAGAATTCTATTTTCCTAGAAGCCATCTTAACAAATTATGGTTTCTTATCATGTTTACAGTAACGAATTGGACTACCAAAAAATGCCTAGGTATTTGACTTAATTTTGTGTGTGTACATATAAACATATTTATTTAATTACTTTAAACTACTCAGAGCCAACTTGAGTAAACACTTCTTGAACAAATACTTCATGAAGTCTTTTTAATAACTTAAAAATATGTCTATGTAACACGAAGTAACTTATCCTTTTGGTCAGTTGAGTGGTTAATTGACTAGTGTCTGATCAATATCAATAATATGTCTGAAAATTGCGAAGGACAGTAGTGGAGTAACAGGCTCAGACTCAGTGGTTCTCAACCATGGCTGCACTTCTGAATCACCTGGGATTCTTTATGCTTTGGCCCCAGTTCCAGGAATTTTGATTTAACTGGTGTGGAGTGTGGCATGAGTAATAGGATTTTTCAAAAAGCTTCTCAAGTGATTCTAATTTGCATCTAAGTTTAATAACCACTGTTCTATTGCACTGTTCTATTGTTTTATTGTTTTCCCCCAAATGGGACAATTCTCAAAAAGCACAACAGAGGGTATGCCTGTATAGTGTATGAAGCTGGGGTAAGTTTAGATTATTTTCTTAGGAGAGAAGCAGGATTTAACAAGATGATAGCTGGCCAAAGTAATAAATTTAGCCCATCCTTCCATCAACGAATCTTTTTTTTTTCTTTCTTATCACACACAACAGATAACATCTGAATTGACAAACATGCAGCTATATAGTGATTACATAGTCTATGTAATTAACCTTTCCATCATGCCTGATGAATTATAATCCATGATTGTATTTAATCAGAATCATGGAACATGTAACCGTAAGACTCATCAGAGCTGTATGACACAGCTCCTTATTCTGAGCACGTCACAAAATGTCTCATATAACAGAATAAATTTTTGAATCACAGTTTAATGAACCCCATCCAGTGCTTTTAAAAACCATCAAACAACCAAACCCTTAAGGCTGAATTCTTGTCATTAGAGAGTTTCAATTATTTGCACCATATCTAGAGTGGTTTAAGGAGTTAGAATAGTGGTGGAGAGGAAGAGAAGAGAACAATCAAAAGTCTAGAGGAACCCGAGGAATATGGGGTCAGCTTATTTTTTAAAAACTCATATTTAATGATGTCTTTCCTTGAAAAGTATTCCTCCCATACCCCTATTTCAGAAAATGGAGAAATAAGCAATTGGAGATACATGTAGTACCTGAGGATGGAGAAGAGTAGAGAGGATGAAGAAGAGAAGGACAAATTTAGGGCTGACTCCTAATGGATGACCTTGTGTGTACTTTCTCCACTCCTGCCCTTAGTCTACACAAAGGACTAGCAGAATGGCACCTGGAAGGACTGGGAGCAAAGAGTTACCTAGGGAGAAGCTTTGGCTTTGAAATGTAGATCAGATCTGAGGCACAGTGAATGGGAAAAAACACAAATACATCTTGACGTGTATCATATCCTCTCATTCTTTTTTCCTCTCATCCCTATCTTCATAATGTTAGTTTAACAATAAAACCTTTTTCCTAAAATTGGTTGTTTTATTTTAAGAATAAATGGCAACAGATATCCTCCCCCCCACCGAAGATGTAGGATCTGGATTTACAAAACTAACAGAAATGATTAAAAGAGAAGTAAAATATCAAAGATTAAAGTCTTCAGTGTGAAAATTATGAAAATGTGTCAATGTTCTACCCTAAACATTAATAGCTATGTCTTAATAATAAGAGCAAACACCTATCAAGTACTTGATGTACTAGGCATACTTTTAATTTACATGAATTAATTTATATAAATTTCACTACAACTCAAGAGGTAGGACCTATTGTTATCTCGAGTTTACATATGTGGAAATTGAAGCCCAAAGAGGGAAGTAAACCCATACAAGGTTGAGTTCGGGTTACATTCTCAGACATTTAATTTCTATAGTCCATATTATTAATCACAATATCACCTATGCATAAAAACAATTTAATCCAATTGGCGGAAGGGAGAGGAAGTAAGAACTTGCATTTCTGGGAAGAGTTACCAAGTATTGCAGGCAGTTAGGTGGAGGAATCTCTGGAAAATTCCATTAATATTCCCCGATTAGAAGCATGTAAAAAACTGGACTTGCCAGGGAAAATGTAAAAAAAAGTTTCCCAATTCCTGAGATAAGCAGGACTGAAGGCTGAGGTGGGAAAGCTCCAACTTTGCAATAGATAAAATAGGAAAACACAGGAAATAATCTAGGAATGACTACTTTGGTCAGCACTAGCAGTGGTAAACAAGGAGATCTGAATAGAAGAAAATAATCACCTCATCAGAAGACAGTGGTGACCTGTAAACTGATCCTGATGTAAGAGTTTAAACAAAACGAGAAAAAGAATAGAGACAAAGTTCCCCAGTACTGGCTTCCAGAGCTTTTGGATCTTTCTCATTCCCTCAGCAGGGGAATGAATAACTGATATAGTTTGGAAGTTTGTCTCCTCCAAATCTCATGTTGAAATGTAATCCCCAATGTTTCAGGTGGGGCCTGGTGGGAGGTATAATATTTAGGTTATGGGATAGGTCACTCATGAATGGCAGCAGCACTATCCCCTTGGTGATGAGTGAGTTCTCACTCTGGCAGTTCATGCAAGATCTGGTAGTTTAAAAAGCATGGCACCTCCCCCATTCTCTCTTGCTCCCTCTCTCATCGTGTGACATTGCCTTCTCTCCCTTCATCTTCTGCCATGATTGTAAGCTTCCTGATGTCCTCACCAGAAGCTAATGCTGGAGCCATGTTTGTATAGCCTGAAGAACCATCAGCAAATTAAACCTCTTTTCTTAAAAAGTTACCCAGTCTCAGGTATTACTTTATAGTAACGCAAAAATAACCTAACAAAGAAAATTGGAGTGGGATGTTGCTATAAAGATACCTGAATATGTGAAAACAGCTTTGGAACTGGATAATGGGCAAAAGTTGGAAGTGTTTGGAGGGCTCAGAAGAAGAAAGGAAGATGAGGGAAAATGTGGAACTTTTTAGAGACTAGTTAAATGGTTGTGACCAAAATACTGATAGAAATATGGACAGTAATGGGGTCAGGGGTGATACTGGGGGGGGGACAGGACACAGGAGGCTGTCTCAAGAAATATGGAGAGTAAACGACAGGCTGATGAGGTCTCAGATGGAAGTGAGGACTTTATTGGAAACTGGAGTAAAAGTCACCTATGTTATGCTCTAGCAAAAAAACTTCGCTGCATTACATCCATGCTCTAGGAATCTGTGGAAATTTGAACTTAAGACTGATGACTTAGGGCATATTGTGGAGGAAATTTTTAAGCTGCAAAGTGTTCAAGATGTGGTGTGGCTGCTTCTATCAGTCTACATCAGATGCTGTAGCAAAGAAATGACTTAAAAATTGGAACTTATATTTAGAAGGAAAACAGAGCATACAAGTTTGAAAAATTTGCAGCGTAGCCATGTGGCAGCCTAGCCGTGTGGCAGGAGAGTAATCCAAGTAGGCTTTGGAGAAACCACTTGCTAGAGATATTATCATGATTAAAAGGGAGCCAAGTGTTAATATCCAAGAGAATGGGGGAAAAGCCCCAAATGTATTTCAGAGATTTTGGAGACAGCCCCTCCTCTAACAGGCCCAGAGGCCTAGAAGGAAAGAATAGTTTTTTGGGCCAGGCCTGGGGCACTACTGCCTTGCTCAGCTTCAGAACACAGCTCTCCACATTCTGGCCACTCTGATTCCAGCCTCGGCTCAAAGGGGCCTAGATACAGCTTAGGTCGCTGCTCTGCAGGACACAAGCCTTAAGCCTTGGCAGCTGCCACATTTTGTTAAGCCTGCAGGCACCCAGAATGCAAGAGTGAAGGAGGTTGTGCAGCTTCCACCTAGGTATCAGAGTATGTAGTGGAAAGCCTGGGTGCCCAGGCAGAAGCCTGCCACAGCGGCAGAGTCCCCACAGAGAAACTTTACTAGGCCAGTGCCAAAGGAAAACATGGTGTTGGAGCTCCTACACAGAGTTTCTATCAGGGCACTGCCTGGTGGAGCTGTGGGAAGGAGGCTGCTGTCCTCCAGACCTCATAATGATAGACCCACAGGCAGCTTGCATCTTGAATCTGGGAGAGATGTAGGCACTTGACTCCAACCCATCAGAGTAGCCATGGGGCCTGCACTCTGCAAAGCCACAGGGGTGGAGCTGCTCAAAGCCTTGGCAGACCACCCCTTGCACCAGTGTGTCCTGGATGCAGGACATGGAGTCAAAAGAGATTATTTTGGAGCTTTAATATTTAGTGACTTCCCTGTTGGGTTTCAGGCTTGCCCGGGGCTTATTGCCCCCTTCTTTTGGCTGATGTTTTGGAATGGTAATGTTTACCCAATGCCTGTAGCACCATTGTATCATGAAAATAAGTAACTTGATTTGTATCTCACAGGCTCATAGGTGGAAGGAACTCATCTCCAGATGAGACTTTGGACTTTAGGATCTTTGAGTTAAGGCTGGAATGAGTTAAGACTATTATGAAGGCACGATTGTATTTTGAAATGTGAGAAGGACATGAGAATTGGGGGGCCAGGGGCAGAATTTTATGGTTGCAATGTTTGTCCCCTTTAAATCTCATGTTGAAATGTGATTCCCAATGTTGAAGATGGGGCCTGGTGGGAGGTGATTAGCTCATGGGGGCAGATTCCTCATGCATAGCTTGGCACCATCCCCTTAGTGATAGATGAGTTCTCACTCTGGTAGTTCACGGGAAATCTGGTTGTTTAAGAGAGTCTGGGACCAACTCTTTCACTTTATCTTTCTTCCTCTCTTGCCATGTGATATACTTACTACTCCCCCTTTACCTTCTGTCATGATTGTAAACTTACTGAGGCCTAACCAGAGTCAGATGTCAGCACTATGCCTCATGCACAGC
Organism: Homo sapiens; assembly: GCF_000001405.40. Classification (NCBI taxonomy): domain Eukaryota; kingdom Metazoa; phylum Chordata; class Mammalia; order Primates; family Hominidae; genus Homo; species Homo sapiens. The sequence goes on from NC_000007.14 coordinate 113,228,227, forward strand.
CTGCAAAACCATGAGCCAACTAAACCTTTTTCTCTTCTTAAATTTTACCCAGTCTCAGGCATTTCTTTATAGCAATGCAAAAAGTGGTCTAATACAGTAACCATTAGCGCATTTTCTAGGAAAGGCATTGAATAGTACCCAGGTAAATATTAAATTAATGAGAATGTACTGGCATGATTTCTAAATTATTTTGTTTTTGTTTTTATTTTGTTTTCTTTTAAAAATTCTTCTGAAATATACATATAGAAAATTTCATAAATCGAAAGAACAAAAAGATCAACAAACTACCACACAGTGAAAATTCCCACATAACCATTGCATGTGTCTAGAAATAAAACATTAATGGTACCACAGAAGTGCTTCTTATACTCTCTCTTGATTTCTAACACCATGTATTAGTTTGGCCCATTTTTGGATTTTATATAAATGGGACATGAAGTGTTTATTCTTTTGTGACTTGCTTCTTCCACTCAACATTGTGAGGTTCATCCCTGTTGTTGCATGTAGCACTAATTCATTCATTGTCATTGCTATATATTGGTTGTGGTAGATTGCTATAATAACGCCTCCCAATATATCATGCCCTTTTGTGTACACACCCCTTTGCAATGTGATGTTGCTTCTCTTGCTATCAAAATATGGAGTCTATTTCTTCATCATCTTGAATCTAAGCTGGCCTTATGATTTCTTTAACATTGATTGTGATAGAAATGATACTATGCAAAAAAGAAAAAAAAAGAAAAGAAATCATACTATGCAAGTTCTACAGCTCAGCACTAAAATCCCTTGCAATTTTGTCTCTTGTTCTCTTAGACCATTTGACCATAATGCTGTGAAAAAGCCCAACCTAATCTACTCAATATGAAAGTCTCTGCAGAAAGAAGAATGGAGGTACTCTGGTGACAGCTAGTACCATGTTCCAAAGGCCATCTTCAGCCTGCAGATTCAGGGAAGACATCAGATGATGGTAGCCACATGAGTGAGTTCAGACAAGAACAGCAGAAGAAAGTTCTAACCAACTCACAGAATTTTAGAAAATAGATTGGCATTTTAAGCCATCAAGTTTTACAGTAGTTGTTATGCGACCATAGATAACTGAAAATATACATGCAAATATAATTTATTTATCCATTTACTACATTTGGGCTGTTTCCAGTTCTGGGCTATTACAAATAGTTCTACTATCATCTTTAGGACACATATGTGTGCATTTCTGTTAGATATATATCTAGAAGAGGAATTGCAAGGTCAGTATTAATAAATATTGGTAAAGGGTTATATTTCCATAGGTAATATAATAGAGACTAGTTGCTCCACGCCCTTCCTAATCCTTGGTAATGTCTGTTATTTTCATTTGAATCATTCTGGCATGTCGGTACTATTATCTCAGTGTAGATTTGACTTACCATATTTTCATTTTTGTGTAAAGGTACCTTAAAAATGAACGTAAATATGCAGAGATCCCAAAATACTTCACCCATATGTTTTCTCTAAGAAGCTTACCTGAAGAAGGAATCATTCATGCATGTGTGCAGACACCTACAAACACACATGCACACATACAAAGCAATATTCTGTTTTGTTTAATGATCCACACATTGTATTCACTTTTGCTCAATATTGATATTTCTCTGTTCTCTTTTTATTTGTATATTTCTGGTTGTCCTTTGTCTACCCTTTTATTTTCAACCTATGAATTACATTGTTTTAGATGTCATCTCGTATGCAGTATATGAATATGAGAGCATTATTTATCAAAACTTATGGGATTTTAGGAAAGATATACTCAGAGGACATATTTATAACTTTAGGTACTTTCAATATATAAAAAAGAAATAAAAACAATAAATGAAGCACTCCTTTGAGAGGTTATAAAAAGAACAAAATAAATCTAAGAAAGCAGAAGTAAACAGTCAAAGATAAATGCAGAAGTCAATGAATTAAACTAAGGAAAGTAGGAGAAAGTATTAAGTTAAAAGAGAATTGACTTTTCAGGGAAATCCAAATTAAAACAATGAGGTACCATCTCATGCCTGTTAGAATGACTATTATCAAAAAGTCACAAGATAATAAGTGTTTCCCAAGATGTGGAGAAAACAGAACTCTTGCACACGGTTTAAGGGGATGTAAATTGGTACAGCCAGCATGGAAAAGAATATAGAGTTTCCTCAAAAAAGTAATAATAGGACTACCATATGATCCAGCAACCCCACTTTTGGGTATATATCCAAAGGAAATGAAATAAGTGTGTTGAAAATTATCCATAATCTCATATTCATTGCAGCATTATTCACAAGAGCCAAGATATAGAATCGACCTAAGCATCCATCAGCGAATGACTAGATAAAGAACATGTATAGATACACATTGAAATACTATACTGCTTACAAAGAAAGAAATCCTGTCATTGACGACAACATAAATGAACCTGGAGGACACTATGTTAAGTGAAATAAGTCACACAGAGAAAGACAGATTCTGCATGATCTTACTTATATGTGGAATCTAATAAAGTTGATCTCATAGAAGTAGAAAATAGAATGGTGGTTGCCAGCGGTTGGCTGATAGAACGAAGAGGAATGGGGGAAATGTTGGTCAAAAGATACAAAATTTTAGTTAGAGAAGAGGAAAAAGTTCAAAAGATCTATTGCACAACATGGTGACTATAACAATATATTCTTGAAAATTGTTACAAGTAGATTTTAAATGTTCTTGCCACAAAAATAACTATGTGAGGTAATGCAGATGTTAGATGAAGAATAGCTCAATTAAGCTACTTCATAATGTTTATATATTTCAAAACATTATGTTGTACATGATAAATGTGCAAAATTGTATTTGTCAATTTAAAATAAAATGTTTAAAAAGAAATTTATGAAGGAGGGTTGTTAAACAAAAAAGGTAGATTGATAAAAAGTAAAATTCTAGTTACAGATTTGGTCTAAAAAACTTAAAATTATAAATAAGCAATTAGCTAGATTAAACAACAGTAGAAGAAAAAAAGTCCCATAATTAGACAAACGTAGCAATAAGTAAAAACAAAGTAACCATAGATAATGAGGAAATTAGGTATATAAGATTAATTTTTCAATAGTATAACTTTGAATATATTAGTGAAATATACAAAGAAATGAAAAAATAAAAATAGCAAGATTGGCTCAAGAAAAGATAGAAATGACAAATATATTAATAAATATAAACAATTGGGAAAATTGTCCAAAACTGTACCTTAGAAACTCTGGACTGAGATAATTTTATGAATGATCCATTTTAAATTTTTAATAAGAAATAACTCAGATATTATTTAAACGTTTTGAAAGCATCGAAGAATAAGAAAACCTTCTGACCTGTTTTGAAAAACCATCTTAATATTGCTACTTATGCTTGAATGTGATCATGCAAAAAAGAAAGCTACTGCCCAATTTCAATCTCACATGGCAATATTGTTGTAAAAAAATTTGTTATAAAAAATTTTAGGATATTATCAAACAAAATGCATATTAGAATATATACTAGTATATATTCTAATATAAATATTTTATATTAGTATTAACAATAGACCCCTAGTGGTATTTTCTTTAAAATCAGGGAAAAGACAAGAAGGAATTCAGTGTACTAATACTAAACAGCCTAAATCCTCAGGGCATAAAGATCTAGAAGGAGCACAATATCCATATTTAGAGAAGGGAAAGAGAGACCTTGGGAGCTATTTGGGGCCAGATGAGCATTTAGGAACAGTTTTTGAAAAGTGACTAGGCAAAAATTTGCCCAGGACCCTTTCAAACTCAGCAATCCCTTGTAATCCAGAATGATTAAAGGTGCTGCATCTCTTTGATTTCCAACAGGTAACTCTCTAAATTCCTTAGCTCACAATAATCACAGCCTGAAACTCCACTACCTAGAGATCTTTTGAAGTTAAGCATTTATGCATATACCTTGGTGGTGCAAGGTGACTCTTTTACTAGATTATCATATCACTGACACATTAAGGGGGGACAATAGTAGCTAGTGTTTACTGAGTGCTTAACTATGTGCCAGGCACTGTTCTAATATCTCATATGTATGATCCCATTTAATCCTCACAATAACCATATTACATATGTGGAAACAGGTATAGCAGTGTGACACAACTTACCCAACATCACAAGCTAGTAAGTGGTAGAGCTGAGATTAAAATCCAGCAGCTAAGTGCAAGAGCTGCTGCTCTGGACTACTATGCCACATTATCCTGTTCTCAGAGTGCAGAAGTCCTGTGTAGGGGGCTTTCCAACATTCCAACTACATTTATTCAAAAAACATTTACTGAGAGCTACCTGCTTGCAAAGCACCATGAAGCCTCTGTAGTTGATAAACACATAAACATGACACTTTTCTTGACCTTGGGAAACTTATTCTCCATTAAAGGAGATGAATATGGGAATAACAAATGACCCTTCAAGGCTGGATATAGGGTACTTGGTTGTGGTTGTGGGTGGGTCAGGGCTCTTCAGCTTACATTTTGTGGCAGAGAATCTTCTTTGGAGAATCCATGCTTTTGGGATTCCTCATTTTACCTATTAGAGCACAAATCTATGCTTATTTTCTCTGTTGTGTATGGTGAGTTCTGTACTTTTGTTTTGAACATATGTCATGAAAAGACAAAGATTTTTTTCCCAGGTATTTTATTACTCAAGTTTCAAAAACATTACAGAAAATAAACAATAAAGAAATATGACTAAGTAACACAGGACTTCCAAACTTTTCCCTCTTAGGGAATGAAATAAATAATATCATCCTAAAGATAAAGACCTTAATTTATTCTCTAACTTGGATAACCCACTGGGAAAAACCTTGATATTCATAGATAGAAGGGTGAGAGAAACCAGTCCTGCTAGAACTGCTCTTTCAGTTGTCAGCACATTTTAATGAAGTGCCAGTCTTTTCATGCCAAATTCTGAAGGAAATCTCTGGGTACCAAATGATGAAATGATTTCATTCCCAAATGGCATCTAAAGTAAAATAAATCCTCTCGCATTTTGCAGAGCACGGCACTCTACAAGTTCAAAAGGTAAAACATACTTGCAGTATGTATAAACTGTGGAGTACATTTGAAAATAAAATTTTTAATTATGTTGGACATTTCAGGCCCAGCGCTGTCATCCTGAAGAAAAGTAACATCTGTTTTGACATCTCCAGTGGTAGAGACTTTAAATCAGTTTCCACATTGCTTATCTGCTGGCTAATCAGAATGGATGCAGTATTCTTACCAACTCATTGACAGGGAAAAAAGAAAAGATATGCAGAGAAATAGGGTAAACTAAAACTGATATGATGAATTTAAATGAAAAATGTAATGGCCTTTGCATATATTATATCTAAACTTTCATTCAATGTAAAATTTGATAATTTCATTTAATTCCTAACTGTACAGAGATTTATTTTTCTTTCCTCTTCCTGATGTATACCTTTGCTTCCACTTAAATATAATAAAACATTAAAGCATATTTTACTTCTCAAACTATTTAGTTTCATCTTAAACTCAAGGTTTGAATTGGAGAAAATTGATTTGTTATTTTCAATAAGATGTGCTATAAAAATGCAGGATTTCAAACTGCAGGTATTAGAAAAACATCATGTCATATTGTTTCTTTAGTGGTTATATAGTCTTAACATCTCTTGACTTATTACAAACATTAGATTTAAAAGCATAGTCAATAAAAACTGCTCCCTACAGGAATTGTAACTTCCATGTCTTCCGTGTTTTTGAAACTTTCTTAAAGCTATACCAACTTAGTTTTAGGTATCTCTTATAAAGAAAAAAAAAATATTTCCACTTGAATAAGTCAGGACTTCCCTCAAAACTTTACCTGGATTATTTGGGTAGTAAGTGGGTTACCTCTGTTCTCTTTCTTTCTTTTTGTATATGTAGGCATAAACTTCATATTGCTACTTAAGCACTGACCTATTCATTGTAAACTGGTTGAGTTACAAAAAATTACATATAAAGTTTTCAGTCCAGTGGACCAACTCAGTTAAGCCATTTTGTTAGTATAGATGTTAGTATATATGCAGCCTGAGTTAATAGAGAAGCTGGGAGAAGCTTACAGTGGTCTTTATTGTTAAATATATGGGAGGACAATCCTTCAACCAGATTAATACTATGAAGGACTTGTGTGTTCTTCAAAGAAAATGGCAGAATTTAAACAAAGGAACCTAAAAGTGATCTTTCATGCGCATCCGTGTGAAGAGACCACCAAACAGGCTTTGTGTGAGCAACATGGCTGTTTATTTCACCTGGGTGCAGGCGGGCTGAGTCCAAAAAGAGAGTCAGCGAAGGGAGATAGGGGTGGGGCCATTTTATAGGATTTGGGAAGGTAATGGAAAATTACAGTCAAAGGGGCTTGTTCTCTGGTGGGCAGGGGTGGAGCTCACAAAGTACATTCTCAAGGGTGGGGAGAATTATAAAGAACCTTCTTAAGGGTGGGGGAGACTACAAAGTAACTTCTTAAGGGTGGGGGAGATTACAAAGTACATTGATCAGTTAGGGTGGGGTAGGAACAAATCACAATGGTGGAATGTCATCAGTTAAGGCTGTTTTTACTTCTTTTGTGGATCTTCAGTTACTTCAGGCCATCTGGATGTATACATGCAAGTCACAGGGGATGCGATGGCCTGGCCTGGGCTCAGAGGCCTGACATTCCTGCCTTCTTATATTAATAAGACAAATAAAACAAAATAGTGTTGAAGTGTTGGAGCGGCGAAAATTTTTGGGGGGTGGTATGGAGAGAGAATGGGCGATGTTTCTCAGGGCTGCTTCAAGCGGGATTAGGGGCGGCGTGGGAACCTAAAGTGGGAGAGATTAAGCTGAAGGAAGATTTTGTGGTAAGGGGTGATATTGTGGGGTTGTTAGAAGAAACATTTGTTGTGTAGAATTATTGGTGATGGCCTGGATACGGTTTTGTATGAATTGAAAAACTAAATGGAATAAGAGAAGGAGAAAAACAGGTATAAAAGGTCTAAGAATTGGGATGACTCAGGACATCTGATTAGAGAGTGCCTAAGGAGATTCAGCATAGCCCTGCCAGCAATGATTATTTATTTACTTCAGGAGTTAAGAATGGCAGTTTGAGGATAGCACGAGGCAAGCGTGATCAGGGTGAGGAACAGGAAAGAAAGAAATATGGGGAAATGGGGTGAATATCAGGTGGATCAGAGAGATACAGTCATGGGGGTCAGGTGTGGTATCAGGAATAATGTGGGAGGCCAGATTGAAGTCCGGGCCAGGAACAATGGTAATTGTGGGACTTAAAGAGTGAGTACAGCTGAAGAAGCTGGGGAGCATAAAGTATATGCATCAGGTATGAGGAAGAAAATAGATTTTGGAAGTTATGAGAAATGTAGAGAGTGAGTTGAGCATAGTTTGTGATTTTTAGGGCCTCTAACAGTATTAAAGCAGCGGCAGCCACTGCACGCAGACATGAGGGCTAGGCTAAAACAGTAAGGTCAAGTTGTTTGGACAGAAAGGCTACACGGTGTGGTCCTGGCTCTTGTGTAAGAATTCTGACCACACTAACCATGCCTAGGAAGGAAAGGAGTTGTTCTTTTGTAAGGGATTGAGGTTTGGGAGATTAATCAGACACGATCAGCAGGGAGAGCATGTGTGTTTTTATGCGAATTATGCCGAGATAGGTAACAGATGAGGATGAAATTTGGGCTTGACTGAAGTAATGGGAGCTGTCTGTGAAGACTTGTGGCAGTACAGCCCAGGTAATTTGCTGAGCCTAATGGGTGTCAGGGTCAGTCTAAGTGAAGGCAAAGAGAGGCTGGGATGAAGGGTGCAAAGGAATAGTAAAGAAAGCATGTTTGAGATCCAGAACAGAATAATGGGTAGTAGAGGGAGGTATTGAGGATAGGAGAGTATATGGGTTTGGCACCACGGGGTGGATAGGCAAAACAATTTGGTTGATAAGGCGCAGATTCTGAACTAACTTGTAAGCCTTGTCTGGTTTTAGGACAGGTAAAATGGGGGAATGGTAAGGAGAGTTTATAGGTTTTAGAAGCCCGTGCTGTAGCAGGCGAGTGATCACAGGCTTTAATCCTTTTAAAGCGTGCTGTGGGATAGGATATTGGCGTTGAGCGGGGTAAGGGTGATTAGGTTTTAATGAGATGGTAAGGGGTGCATGATCAGTCGCCAAGGAGGGAGTAGAGGTCTCTTATACTTGTGGGTTAAGGTGGGGGAATACAAGAGGAGGACGCAAAGGAGGCTTTGGATTGGGAGGAAGGGCAGCAATGAGATGCAGCTGTAGTCCAGGAATAGTCAGGGAAGCAGATAATTTGGTTAAAATATCTCGGCCTAATAAGGGAACTGGGCAGGTGGGGATAACTAAAAAAGAGTGCATAAAAGAGTATTGTCTAAGTTGGCACCAGAGTTGGGGAGTTTTAAGAGGTTTAGAAGCCTGGCTGTCAATACCCACAACAGTTATGGAGGCAAGGGAAACAGGCCCTTGAAAAGAAGGTAATATGGAGTGGGTAGACTCCGTATTGATTAAGAAGGGGACGGGCTCACCTTCCACTGTGAGAGTTACCGGAAGCTCGGCGTCCGTGATGGTCTACGGCGCTTCCAAGGCGATCGGGCAGCATCAGTCTTCAGCCGCTAAGCCGAGAAGGAGTCAGTCAGAGAACATTGGGCCAGAGTTCCAGGGGCTCTGGGAGTGGCTGCCAGGTGAGTTGAACAGTCCAATTTCCAGTGGGGTCCCGCACAGATGGGACACAGCTTAGGAGGAATCCTGGGCTGCAGGCATTCCTTGGACTGGTGGTCAGATTTCTGGCACTTGTAGCAAGCTCCTGGGGGAGGAGGTTCTGGAGGAACGCCTGGCCGCTGCGGTTCAGGCGTTTGGAAGTTCTTGTGTGCTGGAGATGTGGCTGGGGTTTGTCTCACAGTGGAGGCAAGGAATTGCAACTTTTTTCTATTATTGTACACCTTGAAGGAGAGGTTAATTAAATCCTGTTGTGGGGTTTGAGGGCCGGAATTTAATTTTTGGAGTTTTATTTAATGTCGGGAGCAGATTGGGTAATAAAATGTATATTGAGAATAAGATGGCCTTTTGACCTTTTAGGGTCTAGGGGTGTAAAGCCTCTCAGGGTTGCTGCCGAACAAGCCATGAACTGGGCTGGGTTTTTATATTTGATGAAAAAGAGCCTAAACGCTATCCAATTTGGGATAAAGAAAAAGGAGCATTAACCTTGACTATGCCTTTGGCTCCAGCCACCTTTTTAAGAGTAAATTGCTGGGCAGGTTGGGGAGGGCTAGTCACGGAACGAAACTGTAAGCCTGACCAGGTGTGAGGAGGGGAGGCAATAAAAAGATTATAGGGTGGAGGAGCGGAGGCTGAGGAAGCATTGGGACCTAGCTCGGCCTGGCAAGGAGGGGAGAGGTCAGATGGGTCTGTAGAAAAGGAAGATTAGAAAGACTCAGCGACGCTTGGGGTTGGGACTGAGGGGACAGGCAGGAGGGAAAGAAGGAAGATTTGGGAGGAGTTGCACTGGGCACAGAGACTAGGAAGGGACTGATGTGTAAAAGAATGCCTGGATGTCAGGCACCTCAGACCGTTTGCCTATTTTACGACAAGAATTATTTAGATCTTGCAGGATGGAAAAATTCAAAGTGCCATTTTCTGGCTATTTGGAACTACTGTTGAGTTTGTATTGGGGTCAAGTGGCATTGCAGAAGAAAATAAGGCATTTAGGTTTTAGGTCAGTTGTGAGTTGAAGAGGTTTTAAGTTCTTGAGCCACAGGCTAAGGGAGAAGAAGGAGGAATGGAGGTTGGAAGGTTGCCCATAGTGAAGGAAGCAAACCCAGAGAAAAGAGAGTGTAGAGACACGGAGGGAAGGGGTTTGGGGGTTCTTGCCCCCTAGAAAAGAGGGACTTGCCACTAAGGGTGAAGGAGAAGGGGTTGAGGGGTACTTGCCCCTGCCCCAGGAAAGCGGGACTTGCCGCTAAGGGTGAAGGAGAAGGGGTTGAGGGGTACTTGCCCCTGCCCCAGGAAAGCAGAGAAGGGGTAGAGACAAGGAGAGAAGGGGTTGGGGTACTTGCCCCTTCCCTGGAAAAGCAGAGAAGGGGTAGAGACAAGGAGAGAAGGGGTTGGGGTACTTGCCCCTTCCCCAGAAAAGCGGGACTTGCCGCTAAGGGTGAAGGACCAAGGCAGGCGTCCCTGCATGGTCTGACACCCTTGAAACGTGGGTGTATAATCAGAGAGGTGTCCCTGCAATGATTAAACACCAAGGGAAGGCTGCCTTCCCAGTCAGTGACCGGCGCCGGAGTTTTGGGTCCACGGATAAAACGTGTCTCTTTTGTCTCTACCAGAAAATGAAAGGAATTGAAATTAAGAGAAGGGAGAGATTGAAGTGTAGCACCAAGATTGAAAGGAGAAAGAGGTTGAGAGATAGTGAGGGAAGTTGGAGAAGAGAGTAAAAAGAGGCCGCTTACCGGATTTGAAATTGGTGAGATGTTTCTTGGGCTGGTTGGTCTGAGGACCTGAGGTTGTAGGTGGATCTTTCTCACGGAGCAAAGAGCAGGAGGACGGGGATTGATCTCCCAAGGGAGGTCCCCCGATCCTGGGTTTCGGCACCAAATTTCATGCGTGTACATGTGAAGAGACCACCAAACAGGCTTTGTGTGAGCAACATGGCTGTTTATTTCACCTGGGTGCAGGCGGGCTGAGTCTGAAAAGAGAGTCAGCGAAGGGAGATGGGGTGGGGCCATTTTATAGGATTTGGGAAGGTAATGGAAAATTACAGTCAAAGGGGCTTGTTCTCTGGTGGGCAGGGGTGGAGCTCACAAAGTACATTCTCAAGGGTGGGGAGAATTACAAAGAACCTTCTTAAGGGTGGGGGAGACTACAAAGTACCTTCTTAAGGGTGGGGGAGATTACAAAGTACATTGACCAGTTAGGGTGGGGTAGGAACAAATCACAATGGTGGAATGTCATCAGTTAAGGCTGTTTTTACTTCTTTTGTGGATCTTCAGTTACTTCAGGCCATCTGGATGTATACGTGCAAGTCACAGGAGATGCGATGGCCTGGCCTGGGCTCAGAGGCCCGACATGATCGAAATAATTTTTATATTAAATATGCCTAAATAGTTAGAGATAGGCCATATTTAAAAATCTGATTTACAAAACAAAAAGAGACAGGATTATAAAAAAAAGAATGTCACCATTAATAGCAAAATAATGGTTTACTATCTTTTCTTTGACTTTATTTATAGTAGAAACACAGTTTATAGGTCACAGTAGTAAACACGGTTCAGGCCTCCTCTTTATTAAAGATTAAAAATGTTTAGATGAACCTGCATTTTCTTTAATGCCAGAGTGAACGTCAGTAAAAACAGTATTTGGCAAAGCAGCTATTAGTTTTTGATGGGTTAAAATAGATACATCGTCTAGACTTTTTTGCTTATAAATTGTCATGATGCCATTTTTGGATGAGTTGGAAATATAATTCCTCCCTTCATCCTTGCCACTCCATCCTAGAATTCTATATTATTTCTTCAAAGTATAGAATATATTACATATTCTCCATAATTGCATAAATTACTGTCAATGTTTAATTCTCAGTACATCTATTGATATGATTGGGCTGTGTGTCTCCACCCAAATCTCATATTGAATTTGGATCCCTCATGTTAGACTTGGGGCCTGTTGGGAGGTTATTGGATCATGGAGGTGGTTTCTAATGGTTTAGCACCATTCTCCTAGTGCAGTCTTGTGATAGAGTTCTCATGAGATCTGGTTGTTTGAAAGTGTGTAGCATCTTGCCCTTTGCTGTTTGTTCTCTCTCTCTCTCTCTCTCTCTCTCTCTCTCTCTCTCACTCTCTCTCACTCTCCCTCTCTCTCTCTCCCTCCCTCTCTCCCTCTCCCTCCCTCCCTCTCTCCCTCTCTCTCTCTCACTCTCTCTCACTCTCCCTCTCTCTCTCTCCCTCCCTCTCTCCCTCTCCCTCCCTCCCTCCCTCCCTCTCTCCCTCTCTCCCTCTCTCCCTCTCTCCCTCTCTCCCTCTCTCTCTCCCTCTCTCCCTCCCTCTCTCTCTCTCTCTCTCCCTCTCTCTCTCTCCCCCCCAACCCCCCTGCTGCCGGCCATGTGAATATGTGCTTGCTTCCCATTCACCTTCTGCCATGCTTGTAAGTTTCCTTATGCCTCCCTAGAAGCAGAAGCCTGTATAGCCTGCAGAACCATGAGCCAATTAAACCTAATTTATTTATAAATTATCCAGTCTCAAATATTTTAGAGCAAGGCGAAAATGGAATAATACAGAAAATTGGTACCAGATGAGTGGGGCATTTCTATAAAGATGCCCAAAAATGTGGAAGTGACTTTGGAACTGGGTAATGGGCAGAGGTAGAAACAGTTTGGAAGGCTCAGAAAAACACAGAAAGACGAGGGAAAGTTTGGAACTCTAGAGACTTGTTATATTATTGTGACCAAAATGCTGATAATGATATGGACAGTGAAGTCCAGGCTGAGGCAGTCTCAGAGGGAGATGAGGAACTTATTGGGAATTGGAGCAAAGGTCACTCTTGCTATGCTTTAGCAAAGAGACTGGCAGCATTGTGCCCCTGCTCTAGGGATCTGTTGAACTTTGAACTTGAGAGAGATTATTTAGGGTATCTGGTGGAAGAAATTTCTAAGCAGCAAAGCATTCAAGTTCTGACCTGGCTGCTTCTAAAAGCATTTGCTCATATGTGTGTGAAAAGAGATTAGCTGAAACTGGAACTTATATTTAAAAAGGAAGCAGAGTATAAAAGTTTGAGAAACTTGCTGCTTGACCACATGGTAGAAAAGAAAAACCCATTTTCTGTGGAGAAATTCAAGCTGGCAGCAGAAATTTACATAAATAATGAGGAGCTGAATGTTAGCAGCCAAGACAATGGGGAAAATGCCTTAAAGACATTGGTATAGTTTGGCCTTGTGTCTCCACCCAAATCTCACCTCCAATTGTAATCCCCATAATCACCACGTCTCAAGGGTAGGACCAGGTGGAGATAATTGGATCACGGGGCAGTTTCCCCTATGCTGTTCTCCTGATAGTGAGTGAGTTCTACCAGTATTTTTATTAAGCATTGGGCATTTCCTCTGCTTGCACTCACTTCATCCTGCTGCCCTGTGAAGAAGGTGCCTGCTTCTCCTTTGCCTTTCACCATGGTTGTAAGTGTCCTGAGGGTCCCCAGCAATGTGGAATTGTGAGTCAATTGAACTCTTTTCTTTATAAATTACTCAGTCTCAGGTATTTCTTCATAGCAGTGTGAGAAAAAACTAATATAGGCATTTCAGACACCTTTGCAGCAGCCCCTCCCATCACAGATCTGGAAGCTTAGGAGGGAAAAATGGTTTCATGGGCCAGGCCTGGGACCCCAGTGATCTGTGTAGCCTTGGGACATGGTGCCTTGCATTGCAGCTGCTCCAGCCATGGCTAAAAGGGGCCAAGGTACAGCTGAGGCTGCTGCTTCAGTGGGTACAAGCTGCAATCCTTGGTGGCTTCTGTGTGGTGTTAAACCTGTGGGTGCACAGAAGGCAAGATTTGAGGCTTGGGAGCCTCCACTTAGATTTCAGAGGATGTATGGAAATGCCTGGATGTCCAGGCAGAAGTCTGCTGTAGGGACAGAACCGTTATGGAAAACCTCTACTAGGGGAGTACAAGGGGGAAATGTGGAGTTGGGGCCCCACACAGAATCCTCATTGGGGCACTGCCTAATGGAATTGTGAGAAGTGGACTATTGTCCTGCAGACTCCAAAATGGTAGATCCACCAGCAGCTTGCGCCCTGTAACTGGAAAAGCTGCAGGCACTCAACACCAGCTCATGAAAGCAGCCGCAGGGCCTGTACCTTGCAGAGCCACAGGGCCAGAGCTCTCCAAGCCCTTGGGAGGCCACCTCTTGTGTCAGTGCAGTCTGGATGTAAGACATGGAGTCAAAGGAGATTATTTTGGAGCTTTAAGATTTAATGACTGCCCTGCTAGATTTCAGACTTGCATGGGACCTGTAGCTCCTTTGTTTTGGCCAACTTTTCCCTTTTGGATAGGAGCATTTACCCAATACCTGTACCTCTATTGTATCTTGGAAGTCAGTAATTGTTTTTTATTTTACTTGCTTATAGACTGAAGGGACTTACCTTGTCATAGATGACACTTTGGGCTTGGACTTTTGAGGTAACGTGGAAATTTTGGGCTTGGACTTTTGAGGTAAGGTGGAAATGAGTTAAGACTTTGGAGAACTGTTGGAAAGGTATGATTGTGCTTTGAAATGTGAGAAGGACATGAGATTTTGATGGGGCAAGGGTCTCCACTGAAATCTCATGTTGAATTGTAATCTCATGTTGAATTGGAGGTGGGGCCTGGTGGGAAGTGATTGGATCATGGAGGTGATTTCTAATGGTTTTGCACCATCCCCCTAATACAGTCTCTTAATAGAATTTTCAGAAGATCTGGTTGTTTGAAAGTGTGTAGCACCTCCCTCTTTATGCTCTGTCTCTCCTGCCAGCATTTGAAGATATGCTTGCTTCCCCTTCACCTTCTCCAATGATTTTAAGTTTCATTAGGCCTAACCAGAAGCAGAAGCCTGTACAGCTTGCAGACCTGTGAGAAAATTAAACCTCTTTTATTTATAAATTACCCGGTCTCAGGTATTTCCTTACAGCAGTGTGAAAATGAACTAATACATCTATATTGCATGCACATACCTATTAAAACTGTCTTATTCAAAAATTATTTAGAATTTGAAGCTACCGTGAAATAATATTTATTTTTAAATTATTGTTTTTCTGTGTGAAATATAAATCACCTTGATTTAAGGAAGAGAAGATTCAACATCTTTTTATGTACAAATCATTTCATTTTATCTTCACAAAGTAAAAACTAGTTTAATACTAGCTAGAACTAGAAGCATCTCAGATATACTTTGAACTAAACAATCATTTATAGTAGATGTCACACAACACTAACAATTATGTTCTGCCAAGTATCTTATTTAGTTGTAATCATTTTATCCTGGAGGACATACTAGAGAGTTACACTGATGAAGACTGGATATTTTGTGGATCTTTTATTAAGATATATTTTCGTGGATAAGGTGAATGTAGGATATACCTGTTTAAATAGATTGTTACCATCATCACCACCACAACAGCAACAATAGTATTAAATAACCGTGGGTTTTCTTGAAGAAACTATCATGAGTTGTTCTTCTTTAACTAAGTGTTTTACTCCATACAGTGTATATAAGCAATGGATACAGGAATCAGGAATGTTGCTGATATTCTTGGTTGTATACAAAAAAATCAACATTTCCAAACCTCTTTCTGTGATATTGCTCTGATATTATTCAAAGACAAAATTAATTTTTCAATAACTCAGACATAAGTAATTTTACTAAGAACTTGAGCTTTTATTAGAAAGAATAAAAACATAATTAATTGAATAATAAATGGTGACAACAGAGTTAGCATTTTTTTCTTCTCCTTTTTCAAATATTAATTATGTTAGCATGGTTAAATGACCTAGAGGTTCCTCTAATTTCAGAAACTTCTCTTCATCTTAAAGTCGAAGTGAGATAACAGTGAGGATGAAGAAGGAAATAGTGTGAGACTCAGGATATTTAGGTAAGAAATTATCTTCCACATTTCCTTTTTCTCCCCTTATCATTTGAGTGATATGTTTTGGAGAGTCAAAGCTAAGTTGGTGTCCAACAGAAACAGGACTGAAAAGGTTGTTTAAACCAGTTTTTTGCCTAGGCCTTGTGACAGAAGAGCTAAGGGGTGGTGTCTTCAAGGTCTTGAATGAGAAAAAACTCAGCTTTTCAGCTAAGTCGTCTTGTAAGCAATTGAGTTTAAAATCCTAGTTAACATTTTCATGCGTTGCGGCTGATAGAGGATTTGAGGACCTGGTGATGCTGTTTATTTTACGCTGTGGCCTTGATGCACAAATGCTTTAAGGCCAAAAAGAGAGTGTTGCAGAAATGTATATAGCATCTAGTGTTCACACAACCTCAGAAATGCTTTTCAGCATTACTCCATATTTTACTTCAAGTGATTGTGATAGTAGACAGTGCTCTATTAATACTTGTTTTAAATTAGTTAAAATAAGAAGTAAGCAACATAGCACTCATGTACAATACAGTGAGGTATGCATGTATGTTTTAGGCAAATTTTAGTCATTTACATGTTCCTTCTTTATAAAAGATATCCCATTTCAGACTTGAATTTAATGTGCAATTTATTTAGTAGGACATTATATATTATGTCTTTCTTTTCAGAGTTTTTGGCATTTTAATCATAAAGGAGAGGCAGGCTAATATTAGTAGTTCAAAAAACAACAAGGTCAAAAGCGTAATATTATTCCTTCAACAACATTTCAAATTCTGAGTCAAGCAATTCATTTTTTATTTTTTAAGACATTTCTCTTTAGGATATACAGATATATACTTTGAAACAAGTGAAATTTGTAGTTTTACACCAAAATGGGCATTTGCACTTAATATACAAGCTGTCTTTGAAATAAATAGCAATATAACACTTTGAAGTTTTCTATGAGTTTCTTTTTTTTTTCTTTTCTCTCTCTCTTTTTTTTTTTTTTTTTTTTTTTTGATATGGAGTCTCGCTCTGTCATCCAGGCTGGAGTGCAGTGGCGCGATCTCGGCTCACTGCAAGCTCCGCCTCCCGGGTTCACGCCATTCTCCTGCCTCAGCCTCCCGAGTAGCTGGGACTACAGGTGCCCGCCACCACGCCCAGCTAATTTTTTGTATTTTTAGTAGAGGTGGGATTTCACCATGTTAGCCAAGATGGTCTCGATTTCCTGACCTCGTGATCTGCTCCTTTCGTATTATGTTTGATATGCTTTTTCTTTCCTGAATCAGTAAAATTTTGTGACATTTGAATGTTATATGCTGTTGTATGCTGTCCAAATAAATGTTATAATTGATAAATACTAAGTTAACTTGATTAGTAAATAGGCAAAACTTGCAAAGCACAATCAAACCTCTGTTCTGACCTTTGAATCATGTGTTTTTCTTACACACCAGTTGGATTTGCTAGATGATTTCTATATCACCACTTGAGGCTATGTAGTTCGTGTCTTTTAGCTTTCTTATTATATCTTATAAATATTGGATAGTAGGAAATATTAGTAGTTAATTGAAATTAGTTTTGCCTTACAGTTCTTAAAATATTATTTTGATTCCTAAATTAAATTTTTCAATATGATTACTTTGCTTGCTTTTCTCAGAGATAACTTTTACTTTTAAAATCTTGAATAACTCTTTTCTATGAAAATCATAATATAAAAATTGAATTTACATTCATAAGTCTATACCGATATAAATAAATGATTGATAAATAAATAAAAAGGAGAGAATAAACAAATCTCTGTAAAAGAATTCCAAATGAGTATGTAGATAGTCCACCTTCAAAAAGGTGGAGCATGACTTTCTACTCCTTAAGCATGGGCTGCAGATAATGGCTTTCTTCCAGAATAAAGGGAAGAAAGTAGTAAATTCACAAAGGAGAACCTGAGAAGCATTATATCAGGTGATCGAGATTAAAGTCAGCAGAGATAAGACATGTTGATAGTATGTACTCTTGATATGACATGGAAAGAATGGCACTTTACCTCTATTCTTTCTCCCTAAAACCCATGACCTAAGTCTAATCATGAGAAAAACATCAGAAAAAGTCCAACTGAGAAAAATTCTGCAAAATGCCTGGCCAATACTCTTTCAAACTATCAAGGTCATCAAAAACAAGGAAATACTGAGAAACTGTCACAGCCAAGAGAAGCCTAAGAAGAAATGACAAGTTGATGTCATGTGATATCTTGGATAGATTCCTAGAACAGCAAAAGAACATTAGGTAAAATCTAAGAAAATTTGAATAAAGTATGGTTTTCAGTTAATTGAAGAAATGTATTTGCTAGGAAATCTCTTCTATTGGTATATTAAAATTAATTCCTAGACTTGATAATGCTTTTTCAGATATTCCATTTAATTCAACATTGTGCCAAAACAAAAGAAACTGACACTATGCTCAGATAAAAGACAATCTGTAACAAATACCAGTACATTTTTCTTTTTCTTAATTTCACATGTCAAACAAAATCAATCAAAATGCCATTTAGTATACTGGAGTAAGAAAGGGACCAACTATCTCAAGACTTTCTTAATGGAAGAAAATCAAAGTATAATCATTTATAAATTAAAGAGGGAAACACATTTATAACAATATTGGGCACAACTACTTAGAATATAAATTACTTGAGATTCCATGTATGACATCTGTCTTGGAGATAATCTATACTTGAAGATATGTCAAAAAAGATTATGTTTCATTGGAATCATTTGCAGTTTTAGAAATTATATCTGCCATGATTAAAGACTATTAGGTAATTCCTCCTATACAAAAAGCTTTTAGCAAATGTGTAAGCTACAGTTCTAATTTTGCTGTTATTCTCAAGCATTATCAGAAATTTGATGAAATTTGTTCATGGCCATGAGATAAATGAAAATGTACATATCTTCTATTTTGCATCACTAGTGGTACATTCTTAAGAAGAATAGCACCTTATGGAGGAACCTTATGACTGAGGCATCATTATTTTTATTCTCTGTGTACTATAGTGCATACATTAGCAGGCATATTCTCTGGTGAATGGCAGCATAATGTAGAGAAACAGGACTCTGGAGAACCATATGGAAGCTCTGTGTTCCCATAGCAACTTGAGCATATATTGAAAGGATCTGTTTCCCTGACTATTCTCCTGTATAGTGTAATGGACTTAGTACAGGGGCTGTATCTTGTTTTTCTATTCTCATTTCCTACACAGTTTTTAAAGTGAACCATTCTGATTTTAAATGATTTTAGAGTCAGATGAGTGGACTCCAAAATAATATATAAATCTAATCCCAACTATGCTACTTACTATCAATATGACAGTAGAAAATTTACATTTCCTAATTCGTAGAAATGAGATTATCTGTTTAGAAGATTTGACCTAAAGTGAATACTAAATAAATATTTGGCTTTCTCTAACTTAGTTAAGGTTGTGGACTTTTTTCAATATCACTTCAAGCATTGTTTTTACTTCTATTATTAAACAAATTGCTTCTGTTATCATTGTTAGAATCAAGCCTTAATTTGTAAGAGATGTCTTTGTTCAGGACAACTGATGGGCTAGATAGCAGAGAAGTATTTTTAATAGTTGATGACTCAGCCTTGGGCATAAAGGAAAACTAGGTTATAATTCTTTGCATAGTTTCTTTCAGGAAACGTAACTGAGTTAAGGCAATGCTTTTATTTTTCTAACTTTATAGACGCTTTAGTTCCTTTTTTGATTTTCCATTTATTGCTATTTGTAAAAAATATAAGTGAAAAAGAAAAAATATGAGTAATAAAAGTGTAGAAGTTATATATAAGGCTTATGTGACTTAAATAGACTAAAATTTGAAGGACAAAATTTGTAAGGTTAATTCACTTTAAAATTTTTCAATATTTTCTTAAATATTGCAATGCTATTTTAAGTTAAAACACTTTATTTTTTGTTTATAATTTACTTCTAAGAAAAAATTGAAATAGAAAAGATTAGTTGTCTCTTTAATCAATAAATTCTTTAACCACTGCTTAGTCTTCTGTTCTTAGCATTATTCTGTGTATATTTACTCACTTTTGTCAGGCTGTCTCTCCTTTTATTACTGGACACCACTGCTTCTATGGTGCCATATTCTTCTGGAGTAAGAATATTATACTCAAATATAAAGTGTAAGAGGCTATGCAAATAAGGCATTCTACTACATAGGGAGGAATGGTTGTGATACTGAAGTGTGAAGGACTCACCTAGAGTCATTAAATATGTATTTACTTTTCAACATTCTGATGTCTAAAGAAGATAATCTCTGGGTTAAATTGTTTTATCAGCTGACATTTTGCTAGTTGTGCTTTATCTAGAGCACAGATTATTAACCTGGGGTCCAGAGATAGAATTCATCTTTATTTGGGGAAAAAATCTTTTTTTTTAATAATGTAGCATTAAATTGTGAATGAGGGTAATCAACCACAATAGTAATAGCAGTAATTATGATTTTTCTCACCATTGCAAATCAGAGATGTTTTCATATCTAATTATAGTTGATACAAATATCACAAAATATTGTTTACATTCACTACTTTAAAATGTGGTGCTTATTAGGCCTACCACTGGGTCTGGTTACTTAATGCCTTTATAAAAAGATGGATATATACTTTGTCACAAATGACTTTGAAAATATTTCATAATTATGTTTCAATCTATCTGGTTTTTTTTTTAATATTATGTGTTTTATTTTATACATTAAAAAACCTCATTCTGAGAAAGAATTTATAATTTCACCTAATTTTTCTTTTAATCAGTTATTAGAAAAAAAGCATAGAGAAATCCTGAATCTCCCTAACATTTCAATCCATGGATTCAAGCCTCATAATCTCACTTCAGAATCTAATTATGTGGGGTCATTTTTATACATGAGGGAGAGAGAAATCCAAGAGGTATATTTTTTCTAACAATTATAAAACATAACTGGGGAGACAGAGGGTGGAGCAAGATGGTAGAACAAAAAGATTTATCCAGTAATGCTGTGATTCTTGCATTGATTGATGATCTTGGACGAGATGTGGTAGAAGCATATTAATATTACAAATTTTGTCCTTCAAATTTTACCCTACTTATTTAAGATCTGGTAGAATTATCTGAATTACTGCACTTGAGATGCTCCGTAAAGCAGATACAGCTTAGGTCACAACACCCATGTCCTCTGAAATATCTGAAAATCCTTCCAAAGAAGGACATCTACAAATAAGCCCAGCCAGTGAAGACCACAAGAAATATCTAACCTTTCAATGCCCAGATACCAAAGAACATCTATTAGCATCAACACCATCCAAGAAAACATAACCTCACCAAATGTACTAAATAAGCCACTAAGGACCATTCTAGAGAAGCAGAGATGTGCGACCTTTCTCACAGAGAATTCAAAATGGCCATGTTTAGAAAATGCAGAGAAATTCAAGATAAAACAGAGAATGAATTCAGAAGTCTCACTGATAAACTTCACAAAGAGACTGAAATACTTAAAAAGAATCAAGCAGAAATTCTGGAGTTGAAAAATGCAATTTGCATACTAAAGAATGCATCAGAGTTCTGTAATAGCAGAATGATTCAAGCAGAAGAAAGAATTAGAGAGTTCGAAGGCAGACAATTTGAAAATAAACTGTCAGAGGAGGCAAAAGAAAAAAGAGTAAAAAACAATGAAGCATGCCTACTGGATCCAGATAATTGCCTGGAAAGGGCAAATCTAAGAGTTATTGGCCATAAAGAGGAGATAGACAAAGAAATAGTGGTAGAAAGTTTATTCAAAGGGATAACAACAGAAAACTTCCAAAACCTAGAGAAAGATATCAAAATCCAAGTACAAGACAGTTATAGAACACCAAGAAGATTTAACCCAAAGAAGACTACCTCAAAATATTCAATAATCACACTCCCCAAGGTCAAGGATAAAGAAAGGATCTGAAAAGCAGCAAGAGAAAAGAAACAAATAACATACAATGGAGCTCAAATACATCTGGCAGCACGCTTTTCAATGGAAACCTTACAGGCCAAGAGAGTGACATATCTAAAATGCTGAAGGAAAAAGCTTTTACTGTAGAACAGTATTGGCAGTGAAAATATCCTTCAGACATGAACGGGAAAGAAAAACTTTTCCCAGATAAACAAAAGCTGAGGAAATTCATCAATGCCAGCCCTGTCCTACAAGAAATGCTAAAGGGAGTACTTCAATCAGAACCAAAAAATCTTTCCCAGACAAACAAAAGCTGAGAGATTTTTATCAATACCAGATCTATCTTATGAGAAATGCTAAAGAGAGTACTTCAATAAGAAATATTAATAAAAGGGCATTAATGAACAATAAGAAATCACCTGGAGGTCCAAAACTCATAGGTAATAGTAAGTACACAGAAAAACACAGAATAATATAGCACCATAACTGTGGTTGTATACTACCCTTAACCTAAGTAGAAAGACTAAACAATAAACCAATCAAAAATAATAACTACAACTTTTCTAGACACGTAAATACAGTAAGATATAAATAAAATCAATAAAAAGTTAAAAACCAGGCGGATAAATTTGAGGCATAGAGTTTTTATTAGTTTTTATTTTGTGTGTGTGTTTGTTTATGCAAATAGTGTTAAATTATTATTAGATTAGAATAATGGGTTATAAGATGGTACTTGCAAGCCTCATGGGAACCTCAAACAAGAAAACATACAATGGATACAGAAAAAAATAAAAATAAAAACACTAGCTCATGTTATCAGAGACAACCACCTTCACTAGAGGAAGACAGAAAAGAAAGAAGAAAGAGAAAACCACAAAACAACCAGAAAACAATTAACAAAATGGCAGGAGTAAGTCCTTCCTTATCAATAATATAATAACATTGTACATAAATGGATTAAACTCTCCAATCAGAAGACACAGACTGGCTGAATGGATGAAAAAAGACTCACTGATCTCTTGCCTACAAGAAACACACTTCACCCATAAAGACACAGACAGACCGAAAACAAAGGGATGGAAAAAGATATTTCATGACCATGGAAACCAAAACAGAGCAGAATTCACTGTACTTATATCAGACAAAACAGGTTTCAAGACAAAAATAGTAAGAAGAGACAAAGAAGGTCATTATGTAATGATAAAGGGGTCAATTCTGCAAGAGGATATAACAGTTTTAAATATATATGTATCTAAACCTGAAGCACCCAGATTTCTAAAAAATATTATTGGAGCTAAAGAGAGAGATAGGTCCCAACACCCCACTTTCAGCATTGGGCAGATCTTCCAGACAGAAAATCAACAAAGACACATCAGACTTAATATGCTCCATACACTAAATGCATCTAACAGATACTTACAGAATACTTCATCCAAGACCTGCAAAACACACATTCTTTTCCTTGCACATGGATCATTCTCAGGATGGACCATATGTTAGGTTACAAAATAAGTCTTAAAAAACTCAAAAAATTGAAATAATATCAAGCATCTTCTCTGAACACAATGGAATAAAACTAGAAAATAATAACAAGAGAAAATTTGTGAACTATACAAATAAATGGAAACTAAACAATTTGCTCCTGAGTGACCAGTGGGTCAATAAAAACATTAAGAAGTAAATTGAAACTTATTTTTGAATGAATAATAATGGAAAAACAACATATAAAAACCTATGGGATACAGCAAAAGTAGTACTCAGGAGGGAAGTTAAGAGCTATAAGTGCCTACATCAAATAAGAAAAAAAAGACTTCAAATAAACAATCTAATGATACATCTTAAAGAACTGGAAAAGCAAGAGCAAACCAAACCCAAAATTAGTACAAGAGAAGAGATTATAAAATCAGAGCAGAAATCAATAAAATTGAAATGAAAAAACAATACAAAAGATCAACGAAACAAAAAGTTGGTTTTGTGAAAAGTTAAACAAAATTGACAAACCTTTAGCAGGATTAACTAAAAATAACAGAGAGATGATCCAAATAAAATCAGAAATAAAAATGGAGACATTAGAATTAATATAGAAGAAATTCAAAGGATTATTAGTGGCTACTGTGAGCAACCATATGCCAGTAAATTGGAAAATCTAGAAGAAATGGGCAAACTCTTAGATATACACAACCTACCAAGATTGAACCAGGAAGAAATCCAAAACGTGAACAGGCCAATAACAAATAATGAAATTGAAGCCATAATAAAGTCTCCCAATTAAGAAAAACATGGGACCTGAGAGCTTCACTGCTGAATTCTACCAAACATTTAAAGAAGAACTAATAGCAATTCTACTCTAACTATTCCAAAAAATAGAGGAGGAGGAAATACTCCCAAACTCACTCTATGAAGCCAGTATTACACTGATATCAAAACCAAAGACACATCAAAGAAAGAAAACTACAAGCCAGTATCTCTGATGAATATTGATGCAAAAATCCTCAACAAAATACTAGAAAACTAAATTCAGCAATATATTTGAAGGATCACTCATTAAGACCAAGTAGAATTTATCCCTGGGATGCAAAAGTAATTCAACATAAAGAAATCGATCAGTGTGGTACATCAAATTAACAAAATGAAGGACAATTGCAATGATCATTGCAATTGATACTGAAAAAGCGTTTGATAAAATTTAACATCTCTTCATGATAAAAACCCTAAAAAAACTGGGGATAGAAGGAACATACCTCAATGTAATGAAAGCCATATACTACAGACACATAGCTAGTATCATACTTAATGAGAAAAAACTGAAAGCCTTTCCTGTAAGATCTGGAACATGACAAGGATGTCGCGTCATTGCTCTTAATTCAACATAGTACTGGAAGTCCTAGCTAGAGCAACCAGAAAAGAGAAAGATATAAAGGACATACAAACTGGAAATGAGGAAGTCAAATATCCTTGTTTGCAAATGATATAATGTTTTGTTTGGAAAAAGCTAGACTCCACAAGAAAGCTATTAGAACTGATAAATAAATTCAGTAAAGTCACAGGATACAAAATCAACATTCAAAAACAAGTAGAATTTCTGTATGCTAACAGCGAACAATGTGAAAAAGAAATTAAAAAGTAATAACATTTATAATGGCCACACATAAAATTAAATATCTAGGAATTAACAAAATAAGTGAAAAATCTCTATAATAAAAACTATAAAACACTGATAAAAAAATTGAAGAGGACATCAAAAAATGGAAAGACATTCCATGTTTAAGAATTGGGAGAATAAATATTGTTAAAATGTCCATACTACCCAAAGCAATCCACAGATTCAATGCAGTCCCCATCAAAATACCATTAATGTTCTTCACATAAATAGAAAAAAAAATCCTAAAGTATGTATGAACTACAAGAGACCCAAAATAACCAAAGCCATCTTAAGAAAATAAATAAATAAATGAAATGGGAGGAATCACATTCCCTGACTTCAAATTGTACTACAGAGCTATGGTAACAAAAACATCATGATACTGGCATAAAAGCAGACACATAGACCAGTGGAACAGACTAGAGAACCCAGAATTATATCCACAAACCTACAGTGAACTAATTTTGACATACAGTGGGGAAATGACAGTCTTTTCCACAAATGGTGCTGGAAAAACTGGATATCCATTTACAGAAGAATGCAACTAGACCCCTATTTCTCACCATATACAAAAATACAATCAAAATGAATTAAAGTCTTAAATCTAAGTCCTCAAACTATGAAACTACTATAAGGAAACGTTGCAGAAAATCTCCAGGACATGGGTCTGGGTAAAGACTTCGTGAGTAATATGCAACAAGCACAGGCAACCAAAGCAAAAATGAGCAAATGGGATCACATCAAGTTAAAGTTTCTGCACTTTAATGTAGTAAAAGTAAAGTAAAGGAAGTAAAAGTAAAGGAAGCAACCAATAACGTGAAGAGCCAATAACAGAACAGGAGAAAATATTTGCAATCTACCCCTCTGACAAGTGATTAATAGCTAGAATATATAAGCAGCTCAAACAACTCTATAGGAAAAAAATCTAATAATTCAATTTAAAAATAGACAAAAATATGAATTGACATTTCTCAAAAGAAGACATCCAATGACAAACAGGTATATGAAAAGGTGCCCAACATCATTAATCATCAGAGAAATTCAAATCAAAACTATTATGAAACCTCTCACCTCAGTTTAAATGGCTTTTATCTAAAATGCAGACAATAACAAATGCGGCTGAGAATTTTCAGAAAAGGGAGCCATTGTACTCTGTTGCCAAGGATGTAAATTATTACAATCACTATAGAGAACAGTTTAGTAGTTCCTCAAAAAAACTAAAAATAGAGCTACCATACGATCCTGCAGTTCCACTCCTAGGTATATATCCATAAGAAAGAAAATTGGTATATTGAAAAGATATTTGCACTTCCATGTTTATTGCAACACTATTCACAATAGCCAAGATTTGGAAGCAACCTAAGTGTCCATCAGCAGATGAATGAATAAAGAAAATTTGGTACATATACACAATGGAGTACTATTCAGCCATAAAAAAGAATGAGATCCAGTTACTTGCAGCCACATGAATGAAAGTGGAGATCACAATGGTAAATGAAATAAGCCAGGCACATAAAACAAACATCACATGTTTTCACTTATTTGTGGGATGTAAAAATCAAATCAATTGGACTCATAAACATAGAGAATAGGAGGATAATTACCAGAGGCTGGGAAAGATAGTGGGAGGTTTGGGTGGAGGTGGAGATAGTTAATAGGTATAAGAAATAGAAAGAATGAATAAAATCTATTATTTGATAGCATAACAGGATGACTACAGTCAATAATAATTGTATATTTGAAAATAACTTAAAGAATGTAATCAGATTATTTGTAACTCAAAAAAATAATGCTTGAGGAGATGGACACCCCATTCTCCATGATGTGCTTATTTCACATTGTGTGCATATATCAAAACATCTCATGTACCCAATAAATATATACACCTACTATGTACCCACAAGAATTTTAAAAAATACTTTAAAAATTAAAAAAATATAAAAAACACTGGTTAGATTTGAGTTTTTGGTCAATAAATGAATCTTTTATTTAAAAAAAAACTACTGAAAAGATAACACTAGGTTAATACCTCATACCACACATATATGTAATTATTAAAATGCATTGGAAATCTAAATATAAAAAATAAAATCATATAAGTACTATAAGAATAAATTCCAGTATAAACTGATAATAGAGAAACATTTTCTAACTATGACCCAAAATTCAGATGTGATAAAGAAAAAATAGTGAATCTGGCTTTACTTATGTTTGTGTTGGTTAAGTAAAGTTAAAAGACAATTGAAAAATTAGGAGAAAATATTTGCAATGTAGATTAAAGAAAAAGGGGTTATATTGCTAATATATAAATTTTAGAATTTGATATAAAATGCCAAAATTTTAGAAGTAAAATTGGCAAGATATATGACATGATAAAATTGTTCTCTCATCTCTCTGTTTTTCTTCCTTTCTTCCAAATCCTTTAAACCTTTTAAAAATTTTCAGCTCAGGAAACTTCAGGGCCTGTGTTATCAGATGTCATTTGACAAACAGGAAAAAACAAGTTGGCCACATTTTGATCTTGGTTAACATAAAACACACACATGCACACACACACACACACACACACACACACACACACACAACACACACCCCAATACATATTATTATTTTTTTTCTGAATAATTTGAGAGGAAGCTGTATTGTAATGTTCCATTACCCCTAAATATTTATATACTTTTAAGATTAGGGATACTTTTTTACATAATTTCCAAAAATGTATCATAATCAGAACATTGATACAACATCATTATCTAATGTATTGATCTTATTTATGTTTTAGTAATTGTCCCAAAAATGTCCTCTTAGCAAAATTAAAAATATATTCCAGAATCACACATTACATATTAATATTTTAAGAGTAAACATTAGAATAAAGCTATGACATATGACTTTTAAATCAATAAAAAGAAAATAAACGAATAATAATAAAAATCAATTCAAAAGTAAGAAAGGAGAGAAAGAATAGAACAAGTGGGATGAACAGAAAGCACAAAATAAGGTAACAGAAATCTATTCCAAATATCACTAATCACACTCTAGATAAAAGTTATATAAAATATAAGTTAAAACATAGAGATTAAGTAACTGGACTTTAAACTATATAGCTTTTTACAAGATATATGCTCTAAACTTAAAGGCACTGTTGGGCAAAGGATGGAAAAGGAAGTACCAGTCTAATGCTAACCAAAAGTAAGCTAGTATAATTCTATCAGTATTAGACAAAATAGACTTTAAAACAAAAAACACTGATAGTGACAAAAGGAATAGTACTTAATAGTTAAGTTTTCAGTTCTTAAAAATGTAAAAATTATGAACATATATGTCAAAAATAACTTCAAAATACATAAAACAGAAATTTATAGAACTAAAAAGAGAAATTTATAAATTTGCCATCAGAGTGAGAAGCTTGAGTTTCTACTTCTAGTATTTGGGAGACTGAACATGCACCAACAAATAAAATTTTGAAAATCAATAAGGATATAAACTTGAGCACAAAATGAACAAGTTTTACCAAATTAGGTTTGTATAAAACCCTACAGATGAAAGTTAGCAAATATATGTTATTTTTATACCCACATGAAACTTTAAGGAAAATTGACGGTAAAGTAGGCCATATAGTAAGTCTCAACATGTTTCAAAGGATTGGCCTTTCAGATTACAATCTGTGATTCCAGGACAATTGTTAGAAGCCAACAATAAGAAGATAGCTAAAATTATCTCCATATTTGATACTTTAGAAATGTCCTGCTAGTAATTCATAGATCAAAACAATAAATTCTAGTAAAAATGAGAACATATTTAGATCTTAATATTATGTAAATAGGTGACAAACTCTGTTTAAGAAATGCTTTAAATGAGTACCACAAATTTTTATACGTACTGCTTATACAGCTGAGGAAATAATAAACTTGTAGATAGGCTAATAGAATTGATCTAAACAGAAACAAAAATAATAAATAATTTAAAAATAAAAACATAGCAGAACATCCAAGAACTCTAAGAAATGTCAACAAGTCTAACAAAAATGGAAGTGCAGTTTCAAAAAGAGAAGAGATGACACTTTGGAAGTGGGCCAAATAATATGTGAAAAGATAATAGCTGATGATTTTTAAAACAAATTGGAGAAAAGAAAACCAAGACCAAAGAAGTCTAGAGAACCCTAGGCAAAAGAAAGAAAAAAAGAAAGAAAAAGAAAGGAAAGAGAGAGAGAGAGAAAGAAAGAAGAAAGAAAGAAAGAGAGAGAAAGGAAGATTTTTAGAAATATTCTAGAATGCTGAAAAGTTAAAGACAATATCTTGAAGGCAGACCGAGGTAAAAAGTATATATTATACACAGCTAACTTCTTAGAAATTTTGCAAGCCCAGAGTGTTATCTATAAAGTACTCTCAACTTAGAATTCTATACTCAGAGGAAATACCTTTCAAAAGTGAAAGTAAGATAAATACTCCTACAAACAAACTCTGAGAAAATTCATTGCCAGTAGAACTGAACTATATGAAATATTAAATAACATGTTTAGGCAGAATCTACACAAAAAAATGAAGAGCACTGGAAATGGCAAAAAGGGTTAATATAAAAACATTTTCTTATTTTAATAACTTTTTACTATAAAGTAAAAGAGTAACAATGTATTATTGCAAGATTGGACATTGAAACTGTCCAACTAGAGACATATACCATGTTTGTGGACAAAAGATTTGATTCTATCAAGTTGGTAAATTTTCCAAAATTGTTTTAAAAAGTTAGAAGAGTGCAATCAAAATAACAAGAGTGTTTTTTTTTCTTTTATTATTATACTTTAAGTTTTAGGGTACATGTGCACATTGTGCAGGTTAGTTACATACGTATACATGTGCCACGCTGGTGCGCTGCACCCACTAACTCGTCATCTAGCATTAGGTATATCTCCCAATGCTATCCCTCCCCCCTCCCCCCACCCCAAAACAGTCCCCAGAGTGTGATGTTCCCCTTCCTGTGTCCATGTGATCTCATTGTTCAATTCCCACCTATCAGTGAGAATATGCGGTGTTTGGTTTTTTGTTCTTGCGATAGTTTACTGAGAATGATGATTTCCAATTTCATCCATGTCCCTACAAAGGACATGAACTCTTCATTTTTTATGGCTGCATAGCATTCCATGGTGTATATGTGCTACATTTTCTTAATCCAGTCTATCATTGTTGGACATTTGGGTTGGTTCCAAGTCTTTGCTATTGTGAATAGTGCCGGAATAAACATATGTGTGCATGTGTCTTTATAGCAGCATGACTTATAGTCCTTTGGGTATATACCCAGTAATGGGATGGCTGGGTCAAATGGTATTTCTAGTTCTAGATCCCTGAGGAATCGCCACACTGACTTCCACAATGTTTGAACTAGTTTACAGTGCCACCAGCAGTGTAAAAGTGTTCCTATTTCTCCACATCCTCTCCAGCACCTGTTGTTTCCTGACTTTTTAATGATTGCCATTCTAACTGGTGTGAGATGGTATCTCATTGTGGTTTTGATTTGCATTTCTCTGATGGCCAGTGATGATGAGCATTTTTTCATGTGTTTTTTGGCTGCATAAATGTCTTCTTTTGAGAAGTGTCTGTTCATGTCCTTTGCCCTCTTTTTGATGGGGTTGTTTGTTTCTTTCTTGTAAATTTGTTTGAGTTCATTGTAGATTCTGGATATTAGCCCTTTGTTAGATGAGTAGATTGCAAAAATTTTCTCCCATTTTGTAGGTTGCCTGTTCACTCTGATGGTAGTTTCTTTTGCTGTGCAGAAGCTCTTTAGTTTAATTAGATCCCATGTGTCAATTTTGTCTTTTGTTGCCATTGCTTTTGGTGTTTTAGACATGAAGTCCTTGACCATGCCTATGTCCTGAATGGTATTGCTTAGGTTTTCTTCTAGGGTTTTTATGGTTTTAGGTCAAACGTTTAAGTCTTTAATCCATCTTGAATTGATTTTTGTATAAGGTGTAAGGAAGGGATCCAGTTTCAGCTTTCTACATATGGCTAGCCAGTTTTCCCAGCACCATTTATTAAATAGGGAGTCCTTTCCTCATTGCTTGTTTTTCTCAGGTTTGTCAAAGATCAGATAGTTGTAGATAAGCGGCGTTATTTCTGAGGGCTCTGTTCTGTTCCATTGATCTGTATCTCTTGTTTTGGTACCAGTATCATGCTGTTTTGTTTACTGTAGCCTTGTAGTATAGTTTAAAGTCAGGTAGTGTAATGCCTCCAGCTTTGTTCTTTTGGCTTAGGATTGACTTGGCAATGCGGGCTCTTTTTTGGTTCCATATGAACTTTAAAGTAGTTTTTTTCCAATTCTGTGAAGAAAGGCATTGGTAGCTTGATGGGGATGGCATTGAATCTGTAAATTACCTTGGGCAGTATGGCCATTTTCACGATATTGATTCTTCCTACCCATGAACATGGAATGTTCTTCCATTTGTTCATATCCTCTTTTATTTCATTGAGCAGTGGTTTGTAGTTCTCCTTGAAGAGGTCCTTCACATCCCTTGTAAGTTGGATTCCTAGGTATTTTATTCTCTTTGAAACAATTGTGAATGGGAGTTCACTCATGACTTGGCTCTCTGTTTGTCTGTTGTTGGTGTATAAGAATGCTTCTGATTTTGGTACATTGATTTTGTATCCTGAGACTTTGCTGAAGTTGCTTATCAGCTTAAGGAGATTTTGGGCTGAGACAATGGGGTTTTCTAGATATACAATCATGTCGTCTGCAAACAGGGACAATTTGACTTCCTCTTTTCCTAATTGAATACCCTTTATTTCCTTCTCCTGCCTAATTGCCCTGGCCAGAACTTCCAACACTATGTTGAATAGGAGTGGTGAGAGAGGGCATCCCTGTCTTGTGCCAGTTTTCAAAGGGAATGCTTCCAGTTTTTGCCCATTCAGTATGATATTGGCTGTGGGTTTGTCATAGATTGCTATTATTATTTTGAAATACGTCCCATCAATACCTAATTTATTGAGAGTTTTTAGCATGAAGGGTTGTTGAATTTTGTCAAAGGCCTTTTCTGCATCTATTGAGATAATCATGTGCTTTTGGCTTTGGCTCTGTTTATATGCTGGATTACATTTATTGATTTGCGTATATTGAACCAGCCTTGCATCCCAGGGATGAAGCCCACTTGATCATGGTGGATAAGCTTTTTGATGTGCTGCTGGATTCGTTTTGCCAGTATTTTATTGAGGATTTTTGCATCAATGTTCATCAAGGATATTGGTCTAAAATTCTCTTTTTTGGTTGTGTCTCTGCCTGGCTTTGGTATCAGAATGATGCTGGCCTCATAAAATGAGTTAGGGAGGATTCCCTCTTTTTCTATTGATTGGAATAGTTTCAGAAGGAATGGTACCAGTTCCTCCTTGTACCTCTGGTAGAATTCGGCTGTGAATCCATCTGGTCCTGGACTCTTTTTGGTTGGTAAGCTATTGATTATTGCCACAATTTCAGAGCCTGTTATTGGTCTATTCAGAGATTCAACTTCTTCCTGGTTTAGTCTTGGGAGAGTGTACGTGTCAAGGAATTTATCCATTTCTTCTAGATTTTCTAGTTTATTTGTGTAGAGGTGTTTGTAGTATTCTCTGATGGTAGTTTGTATTTCTGTGGGATCGGTGGTGATATCCCCTTTATCATTTTTTGTTGTGTCTATTTGATTCTTCTCTCTTTTTTTCTTTATTAGTCTTGCTAGTGGTCTATCTGTTTTGTTGATCCTTTCAAAAAACCAGCTCCTGGATTCATTAATTTTTTGAAGGGTTTTTTTGTGTCTCTATTTCCTTCAGTTCTGCTCTGATTTTAGTTATTTCTTGCCTTCTGCTAGCTTTTGAATGTGTTTGCTCTTGCTTTTCAAGTTCTTTTAATTGTGATGTTAGGGTGTCAATTTTGGATCTTTCCTGCTTTCTCTTGTGGGCATTTAGTGCTATAAATTTCCCTCTACACACTGCTTTGAATGCGTCCCAGAGATCCTGGTATGTTGTGTCTTTGTTCCCGTTGGTTTCAAAGAACATCTTTATTTCTGCCTTCATTTCGTTATGTACCCAGTAGTCATTCAGGAGCAGGTTGTTCATTTTCCATGTAGTTGAGTGGTTTTGAGTGAGTTTCTTAATCCTGAGTTCCAGTTTGATTGCACTGTGGTCTGAGAGACAGTTTGTTATAATTTCTGTTCTTTTACATTTGCTGAGCAGAGCTTTACTTCCAACTATGTGGTCAATTTTGGAATAGGTGTGGTGTGATGCTGAAAAAAATGTATATTCTGTTGATTTGGGGTGGAGAGTTCTGTAGATGTCTATTAGGTCTGCTTGGTGCAGAGCTGAGTTCAATTCCTGGGTATCCCTGTTGACTTTCTGTCTTGTTGATCTGTCTAATGTTGACAGTGGGGTGTTAAAGTCTCCCATTATTAATGTGTGGGAGTCTAAGTCTCTTTGTAGGTCACTCAGGACTTGCTTTATGAATCTGGGTGCTCCTGTATTGGGTGCATATATATTTAGGATAGTTAGCTCTTCTTGTTGAATTGATCCCTTTACCATTATGTAATGGCCTTCTTTGTCTCTTTTGATCGTTATTGGTTTAAAGTCTGTTTTATCAGAGACTAGGATTGCAACCCCTGCCTTTTTTTGTTTTCCATTTGCTTGGTAGATCTTCCTCCATCCTTTTATTTTGAGCCTATGTGTGTCTCTGCACGTGAGATGGGTTTCCTGAATACAGCACACTGATGGGTCTTGACTCTTTATCCAATTTGCCAGTCTGTGTGTTTTAATTGGAGCATTTAGTCCATTTACATTTAAAGTTAATATTGTTATGTGTGAATTTGATCCTGTCATTATGATGTTAGCTGGTTATTTTGCTCGTTAGTTGATGCAGTTTCTTCCTAGTCTCAATGGTCTTTACATTTTGGCATGATTTTGCAGCAGCTGGTACCGGTTGTTCCTTTCCATGTTTAGCGCTTCCTTCAGGAGCTCCTTTAGGGCAGGCCTGGTGGTGACAAAATCTCTCAGCATTTGCTTGTCTGTAAAGTATTTTATTTCTCCTTTGCTTATGAAGCTTAGTTTGGCTGCATATGAAATTCTGGGTTGAAAATTCTTTTCTTTAAGAATGTTGAATATAGGCCCCCACTCTCTTCTGGCTTGTAGGGTTTCTGCTGAGAGATCCGCTGTTAGTCTGATGGGCTTCCCTTTGAGGGTAACCCGACCTTTCTCTCTGGCTGCCCTTAACATTTTTTCCTTCATTTCAACTTTGGTGAATCTGACAATTATGTGTCTTGGAGTTGCTCTTCTTGAGGAGTATCTTTGTGGTGTTCTCTGTATTTCCTGAATCTGAAGGTTGGCCTGCCTTGCTAGATTGGGGAAGTTCTCCTGGATAATATCCTGCAGAGTGTTTTCCAACTTGGTTCCATTCTCCCCGTCACTTTCAGGTACACCAATCAGATGTAGATTTGGTCTTTTCACATAGTCCCATATTTCTTGGAGGCTTTGCTCATTTCTTTTTATTCTTTTTTCTCTAAACTTCCCTTCTCGCTTCATTTCATTCATTTCATCTTCCATCGCTGATACCCTTTCTTCCAGTTGATCACATCGGCTCCTGAGGCTTCTGCATTCTTCACGTAGTTCTCGAGCCTTGGTTTTCAGCTCCATCAGCTCCTTTAAGCACTTCTCTGTATTGGTTATTCAAGTTGTACATTCTTCTAAATTTTTTTCAAAGTTTTCAACTTCTTTGCCTTTGGTTTGAATGTCCTCCGGTAGCTCAGAGTAATTTGGTCGTCTGAAGCCTTCTGCTCTCAGCTAGTCAAAGTCGTTCTCCGTCCAGCTTTGTTCCGTTGCTGGTGAGGAACTGCATTCCTTTGGAGGAGGAGAGGCGCTCTGCTTTTTAGTTTCCAGTTTTTCTGTTCTGTTTTTTCCCCATCTTTGTGGTTTTATCTACTTTTGGTCTTCGATGATGGTGATGTACAGATGGGTTTTTGGTGTGGATGTCCTGTTTGTTAGTTTTCCTTCTAACAGACAGGACCCTCAGCTGCAGGTCTGTTGGAGTACCCTGCCATGTGAGGTGTCAGTGTGCCCCTGCTGGGGGGTGCCTCCCAGTTAGGCTGCTCGGGGGTCAGGAGTCAGGGACCCACTTGAGGAGGCAGTCTGCCCGTTCTCAGATCTCCAGTTGGGTACTGGGAGAACCACTGCTCTCTTCAAAGCTGTCAGACAGGGACATTTAAGTCTGCAGAGGTTACTGCTGTCTTTTTGTTTGTCTGTGCCCTGCCCCCAGAGGTGGAGCCTACAGAGGCAGGCAGGCCTCCTTGAGCTGTGGTGGGCTCCACCCAGTTGGAGCCTCCTGGCTGCTTTGTTTACCTAAGCAAGCCTGGGCAATGGCGGGCGCCCCTCCCCCAGCCTCGCTGCCGCCTTGCAGGTTGATCTCAGACTGCTGTGCTAGCAATCAGCAAGACTCCGTGGGCGTAGGACCCTCCGAGCCAGGTGCGGGATATAATCTCGTGGTGCGCCTTTTTTTAAGCCTGTCGGAAAAGCGCAGTATTCAGGTGGGAGTGACCCGATTTTCCAGGTGCCGTCTGTCACCCCTTTCTTTGACTCAGAAAGGGAACTCCCTGACCCCTTGCGCTTCCCGAGTGAGGCAATGCCTCACCCAGCTTCGGCTCGCGCACGGTGTGCGCACCCACTGACCTGTGCCCACTGTCTGGCACTCTCTAGTGAGATGAACCCGGTACCTCAGATGGAAATGCAGAAATCACCCGTCTTCTGCGTCGCTCACGCTGGGAGCTGTAGACCGGAGCTGTTCCTATTCGGCCATCTTGGCTCCTCCCCAGTGTTTTTAATGTTGTTTTTTTTCACTTTGTGAAACTTGTGAGTAAATTTATTTATGTATTTAATTTATTTTAATTTTTATTTAAGTTTGGGGTATAAATGCAGGTTTATTACTTAGGTAAACCTGTGCAATGGGGATTTGTTTTACAGATTGTTTCATCAGTGGTGTATTAAGCCTAGTACCCATTCGTTATTTTTCCATATCTTCTCTCTCCTCGTACCCTCTATCCTCCACCCTCCAAAAGGCCGCAGTGTGTTTTGCTCCCCTCTAAGTGTTTATGTGTTCTCATCACGTAGCTCCTACTTGTAAGTGAGAACATGCAGCATTTGGTTTTCTGTTTCTGTGTTAGTTTACTAAGGATAATAACCTACAGCTCCATTTATGTCCCTGCAAAAGACATGATATTACAACTTTATTCTAAACTTAAAAAAGAGAAGCTCAAGACTTAATAAGACTTTAGAAAATAAGAATAAGTTTGAAGGATTTGCTTCAACAACTAGCTGGAATAATTGATGCAATGTGGTGTTCTTTTCAGGGATCAACACAATAAAAGGAATGTAATGTAATAGTTAGAAAAGACAAAAACACAGGTATGTATTTCTATATGAGGAAGCATATAAGGAAAGTGGGTCTGCAGATGAATGAGAAAATAAGGAGCTCTTCAAGAAATAGTTATGGGTTATATGTAAAAATGATATTGTTCAGTACTTCATGTGATATAAAAATCTAATTCAGGTGGAAAAAAGATTTAAAGATGAAAGGCAAATTTTAAAAAATGTTTAAAAGATAAAGCTTTCTTAAAACACATGAAGTAAATCTTAACATAAAATATTGTTAAATTTGATTATATTAAATTAAGAAGTTTTGCTAGAAATCTAATGTACAACATAGTGACTATAGTTAATAGTACTGTATTGTATACTTGAAATTTGCTAAGAGAGTAAAACTTAAATGTTCTCACTTCACATACACAAAACTGATAACAATGTGAGGTGATGCATGTGTTAATTAACTTGATTCTGATAATCGTTTCACAATGTATACATACATTAAAACATCACATTGTACACTCTAAATACATATAATTTTAGTTTTCAATTATACCTCAAAAAAGCTGGAAAAAATTAAGAAATTCTGTTCATTAAAAGTACCATAGTAAGAGTCCACTACTGTGCGAATGTTTTGCCATTTTATTTCATTGCTCTTAATTCAACATAGTACTGGAAGTCCTAGCTAGAGCAATCAGAAAAGAGAAAGATATAAAGGACATACAAACTGGAAATGAGGAAGTCAAATATCCTTGTTTGCAAATGATATAATGTTTTGTTTGGAAAAAGCTAAAGACTCCACAAGAAAGCTATTAGAACTGATAAATAAATTCAGTAAAGTCACAGGATACAAAATAAACATTGAAATACAAGTAGAATTTCTGTATGCTAACAGCGAACAATATGAAAAAGAAATTCAAAAGTAATAACATTTATAATGGCCACACATAAAATTAAATATCTAGGAATTAACAAAATAAGTGAAAAATCTCTATAATAAAAACTATAAAACACTGATAAAAAAATTGAAGAGGACATCAAAAAATGGAAAGACATTCCATGTTTAAGAATTGGGAGAATAAATATTGTTAAAATGTCCATGCTACCCAAAGCAATCCACAGATTCAATGCAGTCCCCATCAAAATACCATTAATATTCTTCACATAAATAGAAAAAAAAATCCTAAAGTATGTATGAACTACAAGAGACCCAAAATAACCAAAGCCATCTTAAGCAAAATAAATAAATAAATGAAACTGGAGGAATCACATTCCCTGACTTCAAATTATACTACAGAGCTATGGTAACAAAAACATCATGATACTGGCATAAAAGCAGACACATAGACCAGTGGAACAGACTAGAGAACCCAGAATTATATCCACAAACCTACAGTGAACTAATTTTGACATACAGTGGGGAAATGACAAAATTAGTATAAAGATACATAAAACTCAATGTGAATAAAATCAATGTAGTAAAAAAAAAAATAAAAAAGCACAAAGTGTGTGAACAGACATTTCAGAGAAAATAAACATGATTAGTCAATAAAGATAAAAACCTGCAAAAAAACTCCCAGCTTTTGCTGTAATTAAAAATTTGATGAAAATTGTGCTTGTGTAATGGTGTTGCAGTTTGACCCTATTGCTATATGCAGTCATTTCCCTTTAAAATTGTGGAATGCAGACTGGGCAACCTAGAAAGACCCCATCTCTACAAAAGAGAAAAATTAAAATATTAGCTGGGCATGGTGGTGCATGCCTGTAGTCCTAGCTACTTGGGAGGCTAACATGGGAGGATTCTTTCAGCCCACGAATTTGAGGCTGCAGTGAGCTTGGATCACACCACTGCTCTCCGAACTGGGTGACAAAATTAGACTCTGTCTCAAAAAGAAAAATAAATAAAAATAAAATTGCAGAATGCCTTTACATACCCAGTATTTTATTATTTGAAAAAGTAGTTCAAGAAATATTTTGAAAAACACTACAATTGTTATTACTAGATATTAAAAATATATGGCTCTATTTATTAGGTGAATCGTGTCTCCCCAAAATTTATATGTTGAAGCCCTAACACCCATTTCCTCAGAATGTCACTGTATTTGGAGGTAGCACTTTTAAAGAAAAAAATTAATGTCCGGGTGCAGTGGTTCATGCCTGTAATCCCAGCATTTTGAGAGGCCAAGGCAGGTGGATCACTTGAGGCCAGAAATTTGAGACCAGCCTGGGCAACATGGTGAAACCCTGTCTCTAA
Source organism: Homo sapiens (assembly GCF_000001405.40). Classification (NCBI taxonomy): domain Eukaryota; kingdom Metazoa; phylum Chordata; class Mammalia; order Primates; family Hominidae; genus Homo; species Homo sapiens. The sequence continues at coordinate 113,266,528 of NC_000007.14, forward strand.
TAAAAATACAAAAAATTTGCTGGAGGTGATGGTACATACCTGTAATCCCAGCTAATTGGGAGGCTAAGGACCAAGAATCACTTGAACCCAAAAGGTGGAGGTTGCTGAGATCATGCCAGTGCACTCTAGCCTGGGCGACAGAGTAAGACTCTGTCTTAAAAAATTAATAATAAAAATAAAAATAAAAAAAGAGAGAGAGAAAATTAAGTTAAAATGAGGTCATTAGGGTGGGCCCTAATCTAATATAACTGGTGTCCTTATAAAAAAAGGAAGGAGATAAGGACACACAAAGAGATATCAGAAATGCATGAACACATAGAAAAGATCATCTGAGGACACGTCACAGAAATGGCCACCTGCAAGCCAAGGAAGGCCCTTGGAGGAAAGCAAACTTGCTGGCACCTTGATCTTGAGCTTCCACCTTCCACAAATGTGAGAAATAAATTTATTATTTAAGCTGCCCAGTCTGGCATTTTGTTATGGCAGCTCTAGCAAATTAATACATTCTACGTAAGACAGTGAAAGTAGCTGGTTCTAAAATGACTATCGTAAATATGTTCAACTATGTCAGTAAGTTACTTGAATCATCACAGAATTATAAGAGGAATTTAAAGACATTTAAGTAGTCTAAGAAAAAAATAAAATAAATTATGATATCTCAGCCATCATTTAAATAAAAGCTTTTATCTCTTTATGAGAGATTCAGTTTTTCTTTTTTTTCCCCAAGATGGTGGATTAGAGGCTTTTAGCATCCCTCAGCCACTTGGAAATAGTGAAACTGTATGAACTTTATTTCATTTCTATGAACTTTATTTCAAGAATGAAAATGTGAATTCACTGGAATAGTGAAAGACACTTCAGATCCCAGAGAGAAGGTGGGCAAGCAGCCTCTGGGATGGCATTTGGCTGATAAAAGTGAGTAAAGCCACTGTACATGAGAGAGGCAGAGAGTCTTTCTTTATGACTCATCTTCTCACTAGGGACACATGTAACCCAGGCCAAGGGAAAGCCCTTTATTTCTTGAAAGCCCTTTATTTCTTGAAACTTGAGGAGAGGCTAGGAGATGCTGAAAGGGAAAGACATCCAGAAGTGTGGGAATTTTCCTAGATTTGGGACTGAGAGCAGAACACCATTTTTAATTCTGGCTCATACAGTGATATGGTTTGGCTGTGTCCCCACCCCAAATCTCCTCTTGAATTGTAGTCCCCACATATCAAGGAATGGACAGGTAGGGGTAATTGGGTCATTGGGGAGGTTCCCCCATGCTGTTTTCATGATAACGAATGAGTTTCATGAGATCTGATGCATTTATATATGTCTGGCATTTCCCCTGCTTACTTTCATTCTCTCTCCTGCTGTCCCATAAAAAGATAACTTCTGCCATGATTGTAAGTTTCCTGAGGCCTCCCCACCCAATGTGGACCTGTGAGTCAGTTAAACGTGTTTCCTTTATTAATTTACCCAGTCTCCGGTATTTCTTCATAGCGGCATCAGAATGGACTAATATATACAGAGTCAGTCTTTGTTTGGTGACTCAGTAGAATGGCCACACAGACATTTTACTGTTAGGCCAGAGATTGGAGGAAGCACTTGCTCTAGAGCAGGAGGAGTACTCCCACAGGCAGAATTGAGTGATGAATGTGGTAAGTGCCCCAGTAGTAAGCGCTTGAATTGGGTTGCCTCCCAGTGCAAGACTGAAGTGGTAGGGAGTTGCTGAAACCACAGTTTATCCTGGGTGGCAAAACATTCAGCCAAGGAAAGTTTTGCAACCTGGAACTGGTCTGTGTTTGTCACTGCTGGTTGCCCCAGCCTGCCCCCGAGATTGTGGTGCAGTGAAGTCCTCTCTGCTCCACACCCAGGCATTTCTCCAGGCATTCAGAGCACCCACTTGCTTAGATTAGCAGTCTGAGCGGCCCCATCCTTCCTGTGCAGAGACTGTGGTATAACAGGGCTAACTGTGCTCCATGCCCAGGCATATCTCTGGGCATTCAGAGAATACACTCACCTGGATTAGCAGCCTGAGCTGCTGCCACCCTTCCTGTGCAGAGACTGTGAGGCAGAGGAGCCCTCTCCACTCATTCCCAGGGACATCTCCAGGCATTTGGAGTACCTGCTTGCCTGGATTAGTAGCTTGAGTCATCCCACCCTTCCTGTGCAGAGATCTTGGTGCAGTGGTGATCTCTCCACTTCACACCTGTGCATATTTATAGGCATTTGGTGTAGTCCCTTGTAGGGATTAGCTGCCTGAGCTGCCCTCACGTTCCTGCAAAGCTTTTGTTTCACCACCAGCTGGTCCACTCCTTGCTAGGGAACAATTTCCAGGCAATCAAAATACCTGCTGGCCTGGATTAGTAGCTGTCTCTCCTTCTCCTGCAAAGACATTGCTGCATTAGAGGTTATTCCATTCCTTGCCAGGGACTAGTTGTTCACTTAGATAAGTGCCTGAGTCTCCTCTTGCTTCCTGTGCAGAGATCTTGGCAGGCAGCACGCTCTCTAAACCACGCCCACACATATCTCCAGGCATTTGGAGCATCAACACTTCTAGATTAGGAATTTAGGCTGCCCCCTCTCCCCATGCAGAGAACTTAGGGCAGCAGAGGTTTCCCAACTCCATGCCTAGGCACAACTCTGTGTGCTTGGGGGCTATTTCACCACATCCACTTGGTACTGGTGCTTGTGTCTGCCATTAGGGAAACTGTAGGCAGGCCTGCCCTGTTCACCTTCACCCATCTTGGTCCTCCCTCTGGGACTGAGAAGAGAGCTCAGACAATGATGCATTCGACAGATCAGTGCAATACCTGAGGCAACAAAGAACTTCCCCTAAAAACAAAGATCAAGTGTATACCCATCCAGATTACCTATAGCCAGGTCTTACCCATGAGTGCTACCTTCTGACCTACAGGTTGAATAGTGCAACACAAGAGGAAATCTGATACAAGCGCCAAACACTGGGGAATGAGATCAGCCTCCTGAGATCTCCACCATCCCAACCCCACAGGAGGCAGTGAGTATGCTCACAAGCCCAGCACATCAATACTACAACCAGCTGTTGAGAAAGCCACCATACAAAGGCTAAATATAACCATGGAACTTAAAAAGATTTCTTGCCTAAACTCACTCAAAACCGTTCAACTACATGGAAAAAAAAAAAAACGATCCCATCAACAAGTGGGTGAAGGATATGAACAGACACTTCTCAAAAGAAGACATTTATACAGCCAACAGACACATGAAAAAATGCTCATCATCACTGGCCATCAAAGAAATGCAAATCAAAACCACAATGAGTTACCATCTCACACCAGTTTGAATGGCGATCATTAAAAAGTCAGGAAACAACAGGTGCTGGAGAGGATGTGGAGAAATAGGAACACTTTTACACTGTTGGTGGGACTGTAAACTTGTTCAACCATTGTGGAAGACAGTGTGACAATTCCTCAAGGATCTAGAACTAGAAATACCATTTGACCCAGCCATCCCATTACTGGGTATATACCCAAAGGATTATAAATCATGCTGATATAAAGACACATGCACACATGTTTATTATGGCACTATTCACAATAGCAAAGACTTGGAACCAACCCAAATGTCCAACAATGATAGACTGGATTTAGAAAATGTGGCACATATACACCATGGAATACTATGCAGCCATAAAAAAGGATGAGTTCATGTCCTTTGTAGGGACATGGATGAAGCTGGAAACCATCGTTCTCAGCAAACTATCGCAAGGACAAAAAACCAAACACCGCATATTCTCACTCATAGGTGGGAATTGAACAATGAGAACACTTGGACACAGGAAGGGGAACATCACACACCAGGGCCTGTTGTGGGGTGGGGGGAGTGGGGAGGGATAGCATTAGGGGATATACTTAATGTAAATGACGAGTTAATGGGTGCAGCACACCAACATGGCACATGTATACATATGTAACAAAGCTGCATGTTGTGCACATGTACCCTAGAACTTAAAGTATAATAAAATTTAAAAAAAGATTTCTTGCCACTGAAAACACCCAGAACCAAAGCCAAAAGGACTACAAAACATTATATATTATAGACACCTCCTCAAAGGGAGAAAAATCCCATCCAAATTATGGCAAAATTGAAAAAGTAAGGAAAGATAATATATCCAGATAAAAGAACCCGATAAACAACTCCCAAAGTATTAAAAACCGGAGTATTACAACACCACCCAAGGGGAACACTAACTCTACAGCAACAGATCCTAGCCAAAATGAAATCATTGAAATACCAGATAAATAATTCAAAATATTGATTTTAAAGAAGCTCAATGAGATCCAAGAAAAAACAATACCAATAGAAAGAAATCATAAAAACAATTCAGGACATGAAAGAAGAAATAGACACAATTTAAACAAAAAACTTCTGAAAATGAAAAATTTATTGAAGTTACAAAATACAGTTGAAAGCTTTAACAACAGGCTAGACCAAGTGGAAGAAATAATTTTAGAACTCGAATATAGGTCTTTTAAATTAACCCAGTCAGACAAAAGTAAAAAATAAAGAATTGAAAACACGAACAAAGCCTTTGAGAAATACAGGGTTATGTAAAATGTCCAAAGCTGTGAGTTATAAGTATTTTAGAGAAAGATGAAGAAAAAATAAAAAGTATGTAAAACCTATCTGAGGAAATAATTAAAGAAAACTTCAACAGCCTTAGAGAGATTTAGACATTCAGATGCAAGAAGCTCATAGAACTCCTGGAAGATAAATTGTGAGAACTTCACCAAGGCATATAGTCATTAGACTGTTCAGAGTCCACATAGAGGAAAAAACTAAGAGCCGCAAGAGAGAAGCATCTAATCACTGATAAAGGAAATCCCATCAGACTAACAGTAGACTTTGCAGCAGAAACCAGAAAAGACTGGGGGACTATTTTTAGTTTTATTAAAGAAAAAACAATGCCAGCCAATAATTTCATATCCTGCCAAACTAAGCTTCACAAATTAAGGAGAGATAAAGGCTTTCCCAGAAAAACAAATGCTAATGAAATTCATCACCACTAGACTGGCCAGCCAAGGAATATTCAAAGGCATTCTAAACATGGAAACTAAAGGATGACACTTGCCATCATAAACAGTCACATAAATCAATTACACAATTGGAATCAATTACACCTAGAAATCAATTACACAGTTGAAACCCCTAGGTAATTATCTAACAACACTATCACAGAAACAATACCTCAAATATCAATATTAATCTTGAATATAAATGACCTAAGTGCCCCACAAAAAAGAGTGGTGAATTGGATAATAAAACCATCCACCTGCTGCCTACAAGACACACATCTAGCTTTAATATAGGTACAGACTCAAAGTAAATGGGTGGAAAAAGATATATCACACAAATGGAAAACAAAATTGAGCAGGAATAGCCATTCTCATATGAGATACAATGACTTTGAACCAAAAAATAGTAAAAGAAAAGACAAGGAAGAACATTAGATAATGATGATAATAAGAAAGAATCAGTAATTATATTAGTCTGTTTTACACTGCTATAAAGATACTACCTGAGACTGGATAATTTATTATAAAGATACTACCTGAGACTGGATCATTTATTGAGAAAAGAGGTTTAATTGACTCACAGTTCCACATGGCTAGGGCAGCCTCAGGAAACATACAATTGTGGCGGGAGATGAAAGGAAAGCAAGGTACACCTTACCTGGCAGCAGGAGAGAGAGAGAGAGATCAGGGGAAATTCCAGACATTTATCAAACAACCAGATCTCATGAGAACTCTCTTGCTATCATGAGAAAAGAATGGGGGAAACCACCATCATAATCCAATTATCTTCCACCAAATCCCACCCTTGACACCTGGGGATTACAAGTCAAGATGAGATTTGGGTTGGGACACAGCCAAATCACATCATTCCACTCCTGGCTCCTCCCAAATCTTATGTCCTTTTCACATTTCAAAACCAATCATGCCTTCCCAGTGGTTCCCCAAATTCTTAACTCATTCTAGCATTAACTCAAAGGTTCAAGTCCAAAGTTCAGGTTCAAATCCCTTTTGTCTATGAGCCTGTAAAAGCAAAAGCAAAGTAGTTACTTCCAAGATGTAATGGAGGTACAGGCATTTGGTAAATGTTCTCATTCCAAAAGGAGGAAGTTGGCCAATAACAAAGGGGCCATAGGCCCCACACAAGTCTGAAATCCAACAGGGCAGCTATTAAATTTTAAAGCACAAAATGATCTCCTTTGACTCCGTTTCTCACATTCAGGGCACACTGATGCAAGGGGTGGGCTGCCAAGGCTTTGGGTAGCTCCACTCCTGCAGTTCGACAGAATACAGCCCTTTGGCTACTTTTACCAGCTGGCGTTGAGTGCCTGCATCTTTTCCAGGTGCATGGTGCAAGCTGCTGATGGAACAACCATTCTGGAGTGTGATGAATGGTGGCCTCCTCTCACAGTTCTCCTAGGCAGTGCCCCAGTGGGGACTCTGTGTGGGGACTCCAATCCCACATTTCCTCCAGACACTGCCTGGACATCCAGGTGTTTCCATATACATCCTCTGAAATCTAGGAGGAGGTTCCTAAAGCTCACTCTTGTCTTCTGCACACCCACAGGCCCAATGCCGCATGGAAGCTTCCAAGGTTTGGGGCTTATACCTTCTGAAGCAATGGTCTGAGCTGCATCTTGGCCCCTTTTAGCCCCGGCTGGAGCCACAGAGGCTGTGATGCCAGGTACCGTGTCCTGAGGCTGCACAAGCAGCGAGCCCCTGGGCCTTGCCCAGGAAACCATTTTTCCCTTCCTAGGCCTCTGGGCTTGTGATAGCAGGGGCTGCTGTGAATGTCTCTGACATACCCTGAAGACATTTTCCCCATTTTCTTGGATATTAACATTCAGCTCCTCATTACTTAGGCCAATTTCTGCAGCTGGCTTGATTTCCTCCCTAGAAATTTTTTTTCCCTATCACATTGTCAGGCTTCAAATTTTCCAAACCTTTATACTCTGCTTCCCTTTTAAATATAAGTTCCGATTTCAAATAATCTTTTTGTGAATGCATATAAATGTATGCTTTCGGGAAAATCCAGGTCACATCTTGAATGCTTTTCTGCTTAGAAATTTCTTCTGCCAGATACCCTAAATCATCTCTCTCACTCACACGTTCAAAGTTCTGCAGATCTCTAGGGCAGATGCAAAATGCCACCAGTCTCTTTGCTAAAGCATAGTAAGAGTGACCATAGCTCCAGTTCCCAATAAGTTTCTCATCTCCATCTGAGACAAACTCAGCCTGGACTTCATTGTCTATATCATTATCAGCACTTTGGTCAAAGCCATTCAACAAGTCTCTAGGAAGTTTCAAACTGTCCCACATTTTCCTGTCTTCTCCTGAGTCCTCCGAACTGTTCCAACCTCTGCCTCTTACCCAGTTCCAAAGTCACTTCCACATTTTCAGCTTATCTTTATAGCACTGCCCCCCTACCTTGGTACAAATTCTCTGTATTAGTTCCTTTTCACACTGCTACAAAGATACTACCTGAGACTTGGTAATTTATGAAGAAAAGAGGTTTAATTCACTCACAGTTCCACATGGCTGGGGAGGCCTCAGGAAACTTACAATCATATTGGAAGGTGAAGGGGAAGCAAGGCATGTCTGACATGATGGCAGGAAAGAGAGAATGAGCAAGGAAGTGTCAGACACTTATCAAACAACCAGATTTCATGAGATGTTCCTTATTATCATGAGAACAGGATGGGGGAAACTATCCCCATGATCCAATCACCTCCTACCAAGTCCCACCTTTGATATCTGGGGATTACAATTTGAGATGAGATTTGGGTGGGGACACAGAGCCAAACCATATCAGTAAGAAAAGATCTTCTAACAACAACAAAAAAGTCCATGACCAGATGGATTCACAGCCAAATTTTACCAGACATAGAAAGAAGAGCTGGTACCACTCTTATTGAAACTATCCCCCAAAATTAAGGAGGTGGGGTTCCTTCTTAACTCATTTTATGAAACTAGTATCACTCTGATACCTAAATCAGGAAAGAACACAACAAAAAGGAAAACTACAGGTGAATATTTCTGATGAACTTAGATACAAAAATCCTTAATAAGATACTAGCAAACCAAATCAGATAGTCCACAGTCAACATAGAGGAAAAAATTTTAAAGGCAGCAAGATAGAAGCATTTAATCACCTATAAAGGCAATCCCATCAGAGTAACAGTGGACTTCTCAGCAGATACCTTACAAGCCAGAAAAGACTGGGGGGAAAAGTACATCAAAAAGATAATTCATCATGATAATGTGGGTTTTATTTTAGAGGGGGTGCAAAGATGTTTCAACATCTGCAAATCAATAAATATGATTAATCACAGAAACAACTGAAAACAAAAACTGTATGATCATCTCAATAGATGCAGAAAAGACTTTCAATAAAATCCAATATCCTTTCCTGATAAAAACCTTCAACGAACTAGGCATCAGTGGAACATACCTTGAAATAATAAGAGCCATATATGACAAACGACAAACCCACATCCTCATTACACTGAATAGGAAAAAGCTGAAAGCATATCCCCTGAGAACTGGAACTAGACAAGGTTATTCATTCTCACAACTCCTATTCAACATACTGGAGGCACTACCCAGAGCAATCAGACAAAAGAAAGAAATAAAACGCATCCAAATTGGAAAAGAGGAGTTTAAATGATCTCTGCTCACTGATGACATGATTTTATACCTAGAACCACCTAAGTCTCCTCCAAAAGACTCATAGACTTGATAAATAAATTAAAGTTCTATGATACAAAATCAATGTACAAAAATCAGTAGCATTTCTATACACCAATAATTTTCAAGATGACAACAAAATCAAGAACTCAATCCCATTTATAATAGCTGCAAAATATAAAATACCAACGAATACATTTAACCAAGGAGGTTAAGGATCTCTATAAGGATAACTACAAAACAGTGATAAAAGCAATTGTAGATGGCACACACAAATGGAAAAACATCCCATGGTTGTGGATTTGAAGAATCAATGTCATTAAAATGACCATATGCCTAAAACAATCTACAGATTCAATGCAATTTCTATTATATTACCAACATCATTTTTTCCCAAAATTTGAAAAAACAATCCTAAAGTTTATATGGTACCAACAATACTCTGACTAGCCAAAGTAATCCTAAGAAAATAGAATAAATTTAGAGGCATCACATTGCCTGACTTCAAATTATATGATAAGGCTATCATAATTAAAACAGCATGGCACTTGTACAAAAATAGACATACAGATCAATGGACCAGAATAGAGAACCTACATATAAAGTCACATGGCTACAGCCAACTAATCTTTGATAAAGTTGTTAAAAACAAACAATAGGGAAAGGACATGCTATTCAATAAATGGTATTGGGAAAATTGGCTAGCCATATGCAAAAGAATGAAACTGGATCCCTATCTCTGACCATACATAAAAATTAACTCAAGATGGATTAAAGAATTAAATGTTATACCTGAAACTATAAAACTCCTGGAAGAAAACCTAGGAAAAACTCTTCTCGAGATTGGCCTAGGCATGAATTTATGAAGAACACCCTAAAAGCAAATGCAACAAAAATAAACATAGGCAAATGGGACATAATTAAACTAAAAAGCTTCTGCACAGCAAAACTAATATTCAGCAGAATAAAAAACCTACAGAATAGGAGAAAATATTTTCAAATTGTGCATCTGACAAAGGACGAATATCCAGAATCTATGAAGAACTCAAATAAACTCAAAAAGAGAAAAAAAAAAAAAAAAAAAAAAAACGAAAACAAAACCCAGCCCCATTAAAAACGGGGCAAATGACCTGAACAGACATTTCTCTAAAGAAGAAATACAAGTGCCCAACCAACACATGAAAAAAATGCTCAACATCACTAATCATCAGAGAAACGCAAATCAAAACCACAATGAGTTATCATCTTATGCCTGTGAGAATGTCTATTATTAAAAAGTCAAAAAGCAACAGATGTTGTCATGGATGCGGAGAAAAGGGAACACTGATACACTGTTGGTGGGAATGTAAATTAGTTCAATCTCTATGGAAAACACTGTGGAGATTTCTCAAAGAACTAAAAATAGAACTACCATTAGACCCAGCAATCCCACTACTGTGTATCTACCCAAAGGAAAAGAAATTATATAAAAAAAGACATCTGCACCTATATGTTCATTGTAGCACTATTCATAATTACAAAGTCATGGAACCAACCTAAGTGTCCATCAATGGTTGACTGGATAAATAAAATATGGTATATATAGATCATGGAATACTATACAGTTATAAAAAAGCATAGAATCATGTCCTTTCCAGCAACATGGATGGAGCTGGAAGCCATTATCCTAAATGAACTAACTCAGAAACAGAAAACCAAATATCACATTTTCACACTTGTGTGAGGTAAACAATGGGTACACATGGGAATAAAGATGAAAATAATAGACATTGGAGACTCCAAAAGGGGGAAAGATGGGAGGGGTCAAGGGCTGAAAACTACCTGTCATGTACAGTGTTCACTATTTGTGTAGTGGTACACTAGAAACTCAATCCCCATCGGTATGCAATATACCTATGTGAAAAACAAGCACATGTACCCCTTGAATCTAAAATAATTTTTTTAAATTAAATTTTAAAATAGAGATATTCTTGGGTTGAAATATGAACTGGTGTTAACCACCGTTGTTTCTTCAGTCTAAGGATAGTAGTAACAAGTTTATTTGACAAGGAAGTTTGTCAAATTTGTCACACTGGAAAGAATTCGAACATATTTTGGGGTGGGCTCAGAAATTGTTCCATAACCTATTATAGAATATTAAATGATGCTTTCTTTTAGAGTAAAAATTGGTAATTGATCCCTTTACTGACCTCATTTATTTTAAATGCACAAGAAGCTTCATTCTTTGTTATCTGTTAGAGAGAGGTCTTCCCTACAATTAATTTGGCAGTTATTTTAGATACTAGAGACCTTTAAATGATCACAGACCACCACCTTAATGGCAATATCTTTTATTTTCCACCACATGCATGACATTTGGTGTAGATTTGCTAACTGAAGTTATGGCTGGTTCATCATTTGAGGCAGCAGTTCATATTACTTAAATACTAGACTCAGTAAACTTTCTGATCCCAGGTACTTCACACATTTTTTGATGTGTGACCACCACTTAATCTTATATGTCAAAGTGCCTCTATTTATAAAACAAGATTATGGATACCTTTTATCACATTATATTTCTCAAGAAGGATGACTTATAAGATACAAAATGTACTGTTCTTATAATAAATATGATAATCTTTGAAAAGAATGTGATATTCAGAAAGAAGTTACCCTAATAATAAATATAAATTTTTAATTAATATATTTCTATATGCGAGTCAATTTTTTATCAGGGATTATTAAATAGTGTGTGAGTATTTTGCTTTATTATTTTTCTTTCATTCATCTGTCTGATCAGATATAACCCCTAAGAAATGGTGGCCAATGGATATAAAAGGAAGTAAATTTTAATCAGCATATTTTAAAACTTGAGAGTAGTTATGGTAAAGGATGAATGGTTGGAGGGTTTAACTATTGATTCTATTGATTATCATTAAATTTATAGATTATTTATGAAATAAATAATTTCTATTATACAATAACAGAGACTTTATAAACACTACAAATAAATTCATATAATTTCTAAATAAGATTATTATAGTGCTTTCTGTCATCATTTGATGAAAGGGAAAAATAAACCCTGAAATATATAGAAGTATAAAATAACAATTATAAGTAATTAACAGGAGTACACTAGACTTATATAGAGGTTATCAAAAGGTCCAGGGTTGTGAGTCATACATAGCTCCATATTCCCTCGCCCTGGAACCCTGGAAAAGTATAGAATAATGGGAGACATGTGTTTTTTTTTGTTTGTTTTTTTAGAAGGAGTCTTGCTCTGTCGCCAGGCTGGAGTGCAGTAGCTCAATCTTGGCTCACTGGAACCTCTGCCTCCCAGGTTCAAGCAATTCTCCTGCCTCAGCGTTCCAAGTAGCGGGGACTACAGGTGCATGCTGCCACACCAGGCTAATTTTTTGTATTTTAGTAGAGACGGGGTTTCATTGTGTGCCCTGGCTGGTCTCGAACTCCTGAGCTCAGGCAATCCTCCCCCCTCGGCCTCCCAAAGTGCTAGGATTACATGTGTGAGTCACCACACCCGGCTTCCTCCCTTCTTTTAAAGCAGCCCAAATTGTCCTCAGAAAGTCATGCAAAAGAACACAATTCCCTATTATTTTCATATCAGTTGTAGACACATTAAATATTAAATGCTTGCTACTTCACCGGTAATTAAAGTAGATAACAAAATTCATGTAGAATGTTTTAGTTATTGTACAACATATCATCAAAATAAAATAATAACAAAGGTATTGGTATAACTTATCCACTTAAGATCTGTCAGGCTATAAATGTATAAAGGGTTAATGTATCCATTTCTTCCCACTCACTCTTCCTATTTATAGACTTTAAGAAAAAAATTTGGCATGACTTGTATAAGAAGAAAATGTCAAAAGGTTATAAAACACTGCAGAGAAAACGTTTTTAATGAGTCTTCCAGAATCCTGAAATAGAAAAGATCAGAAATAAGGTTACTGTAATGAAACCAGTTAATGGAACCAGTGTTCAAGACATGTTTTCTACTAGTATTTCTACCTACCTGTACTGCATAATTAGTGGTAGGCAAGTTAGGTTGTAAACTGTGAGAAAAACAACATATTTTCCATCTCTGGCTCCTAGCTCTGCTGCAGGCAGCTGGGAGTGTTTTCCAGAAATAGAAGATGGCTGTAACAAACAATAAAATATAGGCAGTGAGAGCCATGATGATCTCTGTATCATATCTGTCATCACTGTACCTGCTGACAGTTTTATCAGAATGCCAGGGAGTCTGAAGGCAATGTGTCATAATCTGTGGGGATGCCTGGTCCCAAAGGATTTATGGCTTCATTAGGAAACAAAGGAAGAACTTAAATTAAATAAAATTTTTAAAAATGAATTCACATTTCCTAGTAACCTGAAATGAGATTTTGAATGCTATAATAAATGCATGCTTCCATGACACAAATTTGCTTTTGCCTGTATTCATTACCTTTTTTATTTTTAAGTTACTCCTTGGCTTCTTATAATCAGAAACACAGAGACTTTGGTCTTGTATTTAATTGTTTGATGATGTTGAAGACCTCAAAACCCAAATGATGAAACTCACTGGTGGTTGTAGTTTTTTATCTGTGTTTTCTTATCAAATCAGTCAGTAAAGTAAACCACTTGCCGACGCTGCTCAAGCCTGAGTTCTTATCCTGACATACCAATTGATTATATAACTTCAGGACTAAATAAGAATGTGTTCAAAGGTGCTGGAAAAGGTCAGAAAACCTGGGTTCCAGTTCAGCTCTTAGGAACTGTGTGACCTTAGAAAGAGAATCATTATATGTTACCTCAGGATGTTGCTATGAGAACAAGTAAAATAAAGTCTTTCGTAAAGTAGAAGATTATACATTTATATATTTGCTCAGTAGTAGAGAATAGGTATATATTATTAAAGCAACAAAATATTTCCAATGAAAAGTACTGGAATGGAATTAGGACATTGGGGTTCTAGGCTTAACAACATGTTAAATAAATTCTTCTAGTTGTATGCTGTGGTGGCTAATATGGGATTGACCTGACGTTATCGGTAATATAAGGCGGCTATTTTGAAGATCTGGCTAGTATCCTATATTTTATTTCTAAAAGTTCTACCTGTCAGACCTTGGGTTAGTCACTTAACTTCTCTGGGACACTAGTTTATAGGAATGTAAATGAATTAGATTAGATGATTATTAACTTCCATTCTAGTCTTAAAATGGCCTACCACATTCACCTATCTCCTTCTTTGTGTTGAAATCTGGTAAGGTCAGCACAGAAAGGACCTTCAGACTCAGCATTTCCTGTTGGAATGTGGCTGAATGGAATTGAGGTTTTTCCATTATTGGCTTTCCTGTCCAGTTTCTCTTCACATTACAGATTCTGGTACAAAGTACTCTATATCATGGTCATCAGGATTCTTGCTTGCTTTTGCCTGAGGCTTGCAGAGATATGTGTAAATATTTCATTATTCGAACTAACACTTAAACTAACCCTTTCTTTTTCTTTTTTTCTGTTTTCATGAAAGACCTGTCGAAGAAGCACCTACATACTAATGTTATCACAGATACAGACCATCAGCAAATCAAAATTCAGAACCGCAGATATCTTTCTGAGGGTAAAACTAGAAAGAGTCTAAGAAACAGTCATTCTGTGTTTGAAGGAACCATGACTCCTAAACTATCACAATCCTATTTCCTTTTATGCCTATTGTTCATGCTTTCCGTAATGTCTTACCATTTTGACAGATTAAGTGAATTCATGTTAAATTACACAAAAGCAGTAAAAGTAAAAGCATTTAGGTATAGAAAACATGCATACAAAATCATGATTTATTTCACCAAGGCCACAGAGGGTTAATTGTCAATGTTTTGAATTTTATTTTCTGCCTCTTTTGTGATTTGGAATTATGTTAAATCAACTATCCCTTTAATTATTTTATTTTAAATCTTTGGTTGTGTGTGTGTGTGTGTGTGTGTGTGTGTGTGTGTGTATATAGATATGAACACACACACACAATGGGATAGACCAGCAGGCTGGAGGCTGGAGACTGCAGATGCAGATAAGAAATTGTAGTTCAATTTCGAAGCAGTCCACTGGTAGAATTTTCACATCCTCTGGGGAGGTCAGTTTGTTCCTGTTAAGAGGTTCAACTGATTGCATGAGGCCCACTCACGTTACAGAGGGCAATCTGATTTACTCAAAATCCACTGATATAAAGGTTAATTTAATAAAACAAAATACCCATCCAGAAACAGCTAGAATAATGTTTGACCAAATATCTGGTTAGAGTGGCCTAGCTAAGCTGACACATAAAATTAACTATCACATAGCTCTTCCCCTATACTTTATTGTTTTCTTTATGATACTCTTCTTAGCTCCCCTCAGCTATCGCCAAGGCTGATCTACCACATAATGAATAAATACTTTTAAACGTATATCTTCAGTTCTCATCTCTTGCAATACCTGTAGTTCCAACATGCTTAAAACAAAAACTCATTATCTTTTCTCCCTTATCTACTTCTTTCTTTTATTAATGGCACCATTATTCAATCTAAAAATCTTGGAGTCATCTTTAAATTCTCCCACTTTATCCTTTTTTTTTCTAACGAAATTCCAATTCACACACTTAATCACGCAACAATATTTATTAAACATCTTCTAGGTATCAGATAATGTCCTCAGCAATGTCAACAAAATAGTGAGGAGGCAGACAATAAGCAAACATTCACCCCAATAATTTTAATTGTGGTAAATGTTATGAAGGAAAAACACAGGATGCTAGAAGACTGTAAAACTGAGGGGCCTCATAGAGTGTGAGAGGGTCAGGGAAAGCTGGGATCAGGAGGATACCTAGGAGTTAGCCCAGCAAAATTGAATGGTAAGGAGAGGAGGAGTACATCAGGCAGAGGAAACACGAGCAAAGACCTTGAAAAGGGACGAAATAAGAGGCGATAATGATGCCTGAGTACTAAGTCATGAGCTTTTACCCTCAAAATGACCCCATGATATAAGTATCATGATGTAGATACCAACTTTTGATCCATTGTAGAGGCTCAACCAATGTCTGTTGCATAAATATACATTGTAACTGAGGAAACTGAGGCTCAAAAAGATTACATAAGGAGCTTAAGTTTATAGAAGATTAAGTGGCAGTGAGGACTCCACCTTCTGGAGAAGACTCAGAGAGGAGAGTCATTGCCCCTAGTTACCCCATTGCTGGCCCATCAGCAAAACAAAGAAACACCATCAAACTTCTAAATCCTGGGTAAATCCTGGTAAAACAGTGTACAATATTCTGATTTTGCTAGACCAACAATGATTTTTCTAGCATTTGGTTTGCATGATTTTGATCATTTTGGAATATATTCACATCAAATAACCCTAGATCTTGATTAAATGATTCAGTTTCTCATCTGCTCTTAATCTCAGCATTCATTTATTGCTTTCTTTACTAAAAGCAATAATGACTTTTTTAACCTACTACAATATTTGCTTTAATCTCACACAAATGAAGTGATAAGGAATTTCAGAGATGACAAGATTTCAAGAATAACTTACATCTCCTCTCACCCCACTCTATGCCCCCTGCAGGAAGAAGCAATGTTTCTGATTTAGAATATAGTACCTCATAAAAATAGAATAATAGGATTGTGGACTCCATAAAAATCTCTTTTTTATTTGTAATGAATAAGCTTTACACAAGAAGAATTAGAATTCTTATAAGGAGAGTCATCTTGAGTTTACAAATTGATCATATATTTTCAGTTTTAATATCTACTGTAGTGGAATTGGTACCAGGTTAGTAATTTGGAAACCAAGTACAAAGTGTTCTCCAGACATGAAAGTTTACTGGCAATAGAGATGAGAGGTATTTTTACTCTCTGTCTATGACTGCTCCTCAACTCATTGCACTGCATCTTCTGGCCCCATCACTCCATTGAAACTGTTTTTTTCCATGTCCCGGTGACTCCTAGTTGTTTAATTCAATGGAATCCACTCAGTGGCATTCCATACAGGAGACCTCTCTTCACCTTTTTCTCATTTGTCAGGACACCAGCCACTTAGATTTTCCTTCTGCTCTTTGTTGTGGCGCTTTCACCAAGTTCTTTGCTGCACCTTCTCCTTACGAGAGCTCCAAATGCTGGATGAAAGTCCTGGATGGAAGTCATACTGGTTCTTTATTGAGCAACATGCATTTCCTAGGAGATTGATCACATTTATCACCATTTAGATATCTATGTGCCAAAGTCTTCCTAAGTGTCTTTCCAGTACAGGTCTTTCTTTAGAAATACAGGATCTGCTTGATATTTCCATCTGGGTTTGTCTTAAGCATCTAAACTCAACATGCCTAAAACTGAACTGCTCATTACTCCTCACCCCAAACTTACTCCTTTCATTGTTTTCCCAGTTCAGTGTAAGGTACCACCATCTATCAAAAAGCCTAAGTGTCATCCTTGATTTAACTGTTTCCCATCCAGCAAATGCTATTAATCTTATCTTCAAAATATGTTAAATATTTTCACTTCTCTTCATTCCGTAGCTACCACTCCCATAAAAGCTGCCACCACCTCTTGCCTGAACTCCTTCAGCAGCCTTGTAACTGGTCTTGCTTTTATTCTTGCCATTAGTCTGTTATCAATACAGAGAACATTTAGAAATACAGGTCCATCATTAAAGGCACCTGCTCAAAACTCTTTTCATTGTACTTAGAATAGAATCAAATGTAATAACTGTTGCCAAGGCTCTATGCCATATGGCCCTGTCTACCTCTCCCCATCATCTTCTGAGTTTCTTTTACTTCAGCCCAGCTGACTAGTCTTCTTTTGACATTGAAAACATTCCAAAGCCCTTGCTCATTTCTGTTCCTAAACATGCAAGATATTTCCAGCATTTGGGTTTTTTTTGGTGTAGCCTCTGCCTAAAAAGCTCTCTTCATCTTTAAAAAAAAAAAAAGTACTTGTTTTAATAGTGGCTGATTCTTTTTTTAACCCTTTAGTAAATCTCCTTTAGGATTTACTAAATCCTAAAGGAGATTTAGAATCATTGACATTAGAATCCTTGGTTATTTTGATTTCCTTTGTATCAAAATTTCCTAAAATAAGGTCTGGTACATAGTAGAAAAATAAAAAAATTTATATTAAATAAATGAATTCTCTAATCTAAACATAGGAAATCAGTTGGTAATGTCTACTATTAATGAAAAAACTTGGACTCAGTGAGGTTAAGTACTTTCTTAAGGCAATAAAATTTTAAGCATAGAGCCAAGATTCAAAATCTAAACTCATTAAATAGAATATATGTCATTGGGGGAAAACAGAAGGTAATTAGCAAGTTCTTTTTCTTTAGTCAGATTAAAATTCACAGAGGTCCCCTATAGCATCTTAATACAAATTTATGGACAAAAGAAAACTCTTGTAACTAATTATAACTACTATTCATTTATTATGTATTTATGGGCCAGAGTCTCTGCTAATTCATTTATATACTTTTCTACAAGTCTATGTTTTCATCTTATAGGGAAGAGAATATAGTTAATTAATTTGTGAAGGTAATTTATTAGTATTCTCCAGAACCAGGTTTTTGTTTTTTGTTTTTTTGCTGTATTTTGAGATAAGGTCTCACTCTGTTGCCCTGCCTGGAGTGCGGTGGTGTGGTCACAGCTCACTGCATTTTCAAACTACTGGGCTCAAGCAATCCTCAGACCAAGGCTCTGTTTCAGCCTCCTGAGTAGGCAGGACTACAAGCATTTGCCATTATGCCCAGTTAATTCTGTTATATTTTTATTTTTTTGTAAAGACAGGGTCTCACTATGTTGCCCAGGCTCAGACCCAGGATTCTAACAAAGGCCTGCTTGACTCCAAAGCCCTTGCATATAACCACCATACTAGTCTGCCTTTTTTTACTTAAGAGTCAAGAGCTAGATAAGATTATACCCTTGGCCCGGTGTGGTGGCTTACACCTGTAATCCCAGCACTTTGGAAGGTCAAGGTGGGAGGATCACTTGAGCACAGGAGTTTGAGACCAGCGTGGGCAACATAGTAGGAACCCATCTTTATAAAAAATAAGTCTCTCTTGCTAAGGTTGCTGGGATTCATTTATTCATAAAGATGCTCTCTCACTGTCTCTTGAAGTCCAGTATCAGCTTATTTAAAATACATATGGTATGGTTAAAAGCGTTGCAATATAGAACCAGTTGTGGTATTGTTGCAACTCCTGTAGTTCAGCAAGTAGGAGGGAGGGTTGCAACTCTTTTTACTCCCACCACCCACAGCTCAGTGAATGGGAGGATTATAGCCGGTTTATTTCCATCACCCACAGCTCAGCAAACATGAGGGTTAGAGCTTTTTTGCTCCCGCTGACCTCAGCTTGGCAAGTTCTGCATTCCTATTCCATGGCCAACAGGAATAAGGTACGTGGACACTGGAGAGTGAGTAAGGTAGAGAAGAATTTTATTGAGCAACAGAAGGAAAGCTCTCAGCTGTGAAAGGGGACCCCAAAAGTGGGTTGCCCTCTGTGAGGCTGACTCTGGGGTTTTTATGGGCTTAGAATGGGGGAGTGCATGCTGATTGGTCCATGGGTGGTCTTGGAAAAAGCAGCATTTGATTGGTTAAAAGGCATCATCCAGAAGGAACCAGTCCAGAGAGAGTGAGTAAGATGGGGATAGACGTTCTCACTCTGGTCGTGGACTCTATGTGGAACAAGCAGCTTGTTCCTCAGGTTGAAGGTTGATCCTTACTTGTGACCAGCCCCTGTCTGCATAGGAATTTTTCTGTCTCCTATTGCTATCAGTATTAGGCTGGAAAATAGGGACACATAATGTGAATCCTGAGGTCATTCCACATTTTCTCTGGCTTGAACTCACTATTTAGAAAGGGTTGTGGAGTAACTGAGAAGGATTCTTATTAAGAAGTACAAAATTGTTAAAGTAGAAGAAATAGATTGGTAACGCAAAAGTTAAAGGGATTGCGGTTTAGAGAGGAGTTACTAAATTATTTTAAGGATATAAACAGTTCCTCGAATAAAGTGAACTATTTTTTATTGCCACAAGACTGACTACAGGTTTAGTAAACCTTAACAACTTTAGCAAGAGACTTATTTTAGACTTAAGTCTTTTATGATTTTAATAGAAAGTAATATTAAATAATGTCTTACTGATATTGACCATATATCTGGTATTGTATATGTATCTAATTACTCAAATGATAGACATTTTCAGATGGCCCCAAGTTGCTACAACTTGAGTGGTTGTAGAAAAATTTAGAGGGGAAATAATCAACTGATAGATTATAACATAGGTCCAAAGTAAAGTGCACTTGGAATTATTTGAACAGTTTGGAAATAGACAGCTAACCTGAATGAGTTGCCAATATTTAAAAATCCCAGCCCAGAAGGGATCTCATTCTAGGCTTTTCCTTGGAAAGCCAGAAAAGACTCTAGATTTCCTGTCTCTCCCAAGGGGTGAAAAAAGCTAAGAAGCATGTATGAAAGTCACAGGTCTGATACATCAGCCCACTAAAAAATGGATATTTAATGATAACATTATGGAATGCTTTCTTTTGCTTACACCTTACTACTTTACTAAGAGGGATCTTGTATAATAACAGTAGATTAAATTGTAAAGGATGAGAGTTGCAGACTCTCTTTAAGATGGGGTGGTGGAGTGCTTAGGGAAGCCCCAAAACAACACGCAAGACAAAACAAGACAAAATACCAGAAAGAGAAGTAAGACATAATAGAGCAGGAGAAACATTTAATGAAATAATGGCCAAGAATTTTGTAGGATTAATGACAGACACCAAACCAACAGACCAGAGAGCTCATAGAGTACCAAGAAGAATAAACACCAAAAAATTTGACACCAAGGCATATTGTATTCACATTGTAGAGCTAAAGACAAAGAGAAATCTCGAAAGAAGCCAAGAGTGTGAGGGGTGGGTGGGTATGTGGGTAGGGAATTTCACCTATAGAGGAACAAGCATAAGAATTACAGCATACTTCTCTTAAGAAACCCATGTGTATTTGTTTCATAAAGTTGCAGTAACAAAGTACCACAAACTGGGTAGCTTCAAATCACAGACATTTATTCTTTCATAGTTCTGGAGGCTAGAAGTCTGAAATCAAGATGTCAGCAGGACTATGTTTCCTGTGAAGGCAATCCTTGGGGTTTCTTGGTTTGCAGTTGCATCACTCCAATATCTTCCCCCACCATAGCATGGCCTTCTCCCCTGTGTTTGTTGTGTCTTCATATCACTCTCTTTATAAGGACATATGTCATTATGACATATCTTAATCTTGATTATATCCACAAACATTATTTCCAAATAAGGTCACATTCTCAGGTACTGGAGGTTCAATGTATCTTTTTAGCAGGTATAAATAATTCACCTCACAACACCTTCAACTCACAACACCTTGTAAGCAAGAAGAAACTGAAGTAATATATTTGAAATGTTGAAAAAATACCACCAACCTTGAGTTATATATGCAGTGAAATTATCCTTCAAAAGTGAAGGAAATAGTTTCTCAGGCAAACAAAATTGAGAGAATTTTTTTGCTAGCTGTCCTGCCTTGCATATAATGTTTAAAGAACGTTTTCAGGGACAAATAAAATGATATAGGTCAGAAAGTCAAATCTATGTAAAGAAAGGAAAAACACTGGACAAGGAATAAGTTAAAATAAATTTAAATATTTTCTTTTCCTTTATTTTAACTAATCTAATAGATATGTCACAGCCAAGAGGAGTCTAAGAGAACACAATGAGTAAATGTAAGGTGGTATACTGGATAGGATCCTAGAAAGGAAAAGGACATTGGGTTAAAACCAAAACACTGAATAAAGTATGGAATAAATCAATATTGGTTTATTAATTATAAAATGTATGCCATACTAACGTAGGATATTAATAATAGGGAAAACTGGATATAGGAACCATAATACAAATAAAAAATACAAAAATACAAAGATACAAAAATGATACAACTCCTTGTATTATTTCAACAATTTTTCTGAAAATCTGAAACAGTTCTTAAATGAAAAGTTTATTTAAACAATATTATAAACGAAAAATGCCAAAAAAAGTGATTAAACAATGCAAAACAAAATACCTTGATCTAACAGGAAATTTAAGATTTGACAGGTAGGTAAAAGACTAAATGGAAACAGAACTCCCAAGATTCATTATGATTGCTGTATTAGAGGAATGGTGCCTTATTTTCTGGCAAATTCTTTTCATGTTAGAATGACATATGGAGAATCTGCCTCTCTGGACCTCTTGTGTATCTTGCTCAATGGTCCAAAACTGTAAGACCTTCTGATACGGTTTGGCTCTTTCTCTTCTCTCAAGTCTCATCTTGAATTGTAATCCCCATGTGTCGAGGGAGGGACCTGTAATCCCCACATGTTGAGGGAGGTAAGTGTTTGGAATATGGAGGCAGTTTCCCCCATGCTGTTCTCATGAGAGTGAGTGAACTCTCACTGGACCTGATGGTTTTATAAGTGGTAGTTTTTCCTGTGCTTACACATGCTCTTTCTCTTGCCTGCCACCATGTAAGATGTACCTGCTTTGCCTTCTGTCATGATTGTAAGTTTCCTGAGGCTTCCCCAGCCGTGTGGTACTGTGAGTCAATTAAACCTCTTTCCTTTATAAATCACCCAGTCTCTGGGAAATTCTTTATACTAGTGTGAAAATGGTCTAATATACTTTGGCTGTTCTTTCCTTAAGCCACTTCTTAGAATTGTTAATGCTCAAGGCAATTTTGAAATGTGAGGTAAAACATACACCAGGTATCCCTTTGGACAAAGAACAGTCTTGCTTTTTGCTCAGGGATGTCAAATCTTTTGGCTTCCCTGGGCCCCATTGGAAGAAGAACTGTTTTGGGCCACACATAAAATGCACTAATGCTAACTATAGCTGATGAGCTAAAAAAAAATCGCAGAAAAACCTTATAATGTTTTAAGAAAGTTTACAAAATTGTGTTGGGCCACATTCAAAGCTGTCCTGGGCTGCATGTGGCCCACGGGCTGCAGGTTGGGCAAGCTTGCTCTAAAATCAATGGATTCTCTAAGCTCAAGCTTCCCTTATGCAGCATACTCCTGTGTGTGCAGCTCCACCTAGCTCTCCTTGTTGCTCTGTGCAATTTTGGGTTCAGTGAAACCAATACAACTATGATGACAATACTTCTATTGTTTGTGCTGCCTTAAACTTCTTCTCTGTGACCAGGAGTCTTGCATTCTTCTATTACCTTCCATAGGACTATGGAAGGCTAACTTATTAGCTTGTATAGTATTTTGGTGGGAGTCCTCCTCGTTCTAGCCCTCCTTAACATCATCAAACTTATTTAAGTAGCATAAAATCCCAAGAGAGTTTATTTCCAGTAATTTCTTCTTTGAAGCGCATTGTATTTAGTTCTTTTTGCTTACTTTTTTCCATCTTTTTGGTTCACTGTATCCCATTATTTCATTCACTAATTTTCTTTTCAGCTGTTTTTATTGTGTTTGTTTGAACTGGTTAAATATTTAACATCAACAATTATATTTTTCTGGAAATTCCATTTATTCTTCTTTCAAATCTGCCAGACATCTTTTAAAAAGCCTCCTGCTCTTTATGTTTTGAACTTCATCCATTACATTTTAAAATACTTTTAAACATATTTAACATTTTGTCTCTAACAATTTTAATATCTGAATTCTTTGAGATTTGATAGTATGTTTTCTCTGCTGCCACTTCCTTATGGTGCCAAATTTCCTCATGTGTCTTGTAATTTTGGAATGTAAGTACCTATTTAAGTATGTCTGATGCAATTATCTAACTTGAGATAATTCCTCTAAAATGTATTTACATTTGCTTCAGTAAGGTTCCCTGGGGCACCTAAAGTCTGTGACCCTTGAAATTAATTACCACGGTCTGGTGCAGTGACTCATGCCTGCAATCCCAGCACTTTGGGAGGCTGAGGTGGGCAGATCACCTGAGGTCAGGAGTTGGAGACCAGAATGGCCAACATGACAAAACCCTGTCTCTACTAAAAATACAAAAATTAGCCAGGTGTGGTGGCACATGCCTGTAATCCCAGCTCCTTGGGAGGCTGAGGCAGGAGAATTGCTTGAACCCAGGAAACTGAGGTTTCAGTGAGCCGAGATCATGCCATTGCACTCCAGCCTGGGTGACAGAGCAAGACTCCATCTCAAAAAAAAAAAAAAAAAAAGAAAAGAAATTAATTACCACTAACATATCTATTGCTAAAATACTCAAGGGAGGCCTCTTCCACACCCACCCTGGGCCCAAAATTCACAAGGAGACCAAATAGATTTCCTGCTCTTTACTTTTGCCAGTAGGTAGATATTTTTCCAGTTTATCATTTCATTTTGAGATTGTAGCTTTGAGAGTTTCCACCTTACCCTGGCTCAAATCATTGCCTCTGTTCACTTACAGGCTATTGTACTATCATCTGCTCTCTTTCTTCTATTGTACATATGGGACTTTCCTCTTATCCATATTTTATAGTCCAGACTTGGAAGTTTTACATTCCATTCTTATTCTTTTGGTGGTGGTGTTATCCTTAAATTTTAATATGCATACTTAACAATATCGAAAACTGATCAATCTATTCCCATTTAGGATAACAAAAACACATTAGAATATTATAACTTTAAATATTCTTCTATCTTCCATGCATTCTTATTTAGCATTTAATTGCTATCATTTTTATTAAATTTTTGTTGAAAAAATAATAGAAAAAATTAAACATCTTCAGTTTCCAGAGCACTTAAATTTTACAAAGATTTTTATAAAGAGAACACAGGTGTGTAATCACTACTCAGATCAAAAATATAATATTGATGGCAGCGGCGCCCTGTCTGAAGTGACTGCTACCATGATACCGGCTGCAGTAGGGGAGGTGCAGCCAGGGCTGCACTCCACAGAGCCGGTGGGATCCCCACCTGCCCCCTTCCAATTTGGAGGGGCAGAAGCTCCACCCTTACAGGCAAATCTGCAGCTGCCCAGCCACGGCTGTGGACCAGGCATCACTGTGCTCTCAGGGGCCCAGGAAGTCCCTTGCCCCTGCAGGCTTGAAAGTGTCTGGTCCCGCTGCCTGGCCTCTCCCTGCTCCCAGGGTCCACTCTTATTTCAGAGCAAACCTGTGGGCGAGCTTGGGCGCTGTCACACCCCAGCTGGGTGTGTGTGTGCTCAGGGCGATGCTGACATACCAGCCCCTTGCCACATCAGCATCCTCTCGACTTTGGGTGCTGACCAGCATTGGAGGGAGGCTGATGAGGGGGCTAAAAATGACTTGGTGTAAACCTGCAGGCGCCCCTTGACATGCACAGCCTGGGTGCCATAAACATTAGGTTGATGATGGCAGGAGGCAGACAGGCTCCTGGACAGAAAGGGTCCCGGGTAAGCCCCACCTTCAAGCCAGGAATGGCCTGAGGCCTGGGGGCCTGGGGGCCTAGCCACCAGTTCCGCAGACCAGAGTGAGGACTTACGATGCCTTTCCCTAGGTCCACCCATGACCACCCATAGACCAATCAGCATGCACTTCCTCTCTTCTGAAGCCCATAAAAATCCTGGATTCAGCCAGAGTTGAGCAGACTTTAGGATGACCTTCCTAAGTCTGGATAGGAGCTACCCACTCTGGGTTTCCCCTCCGCTGATGGCTGCACAAACATAGGAACGACCTGTCTGCAGAAAGGAGCACGGGTTTCCTAAGAGGTGTACTGTCACTCAATAAAGCACTTATTTGCCTTTCTCACCCTCTAGTTGTTCATGTACCT
The DNA here is from genome assembly GCF_000001405.40 of Homo sapiens. Lineage (NCBI taxonomy): Eukaryota > Metazoa > Chordata > Mammalia > Primates > Hominidae > Homo > Homo sapiens. The sequence goes on from NC_000007.14 coordinate 113,292,007, forward strand.
CATTCTTCCTGGACACAGGACAAGAACATGGGACCCACCAAATGGTAGGACCGAAAGAACTGTAACACAAACAGGCCTGAAACACATCCCCCCTGCTCACTGCATTGCAAGTAACAAGAAGGAGAGAGGAGGCCAGACCTTAGGCCTCCTGAGCCAGAGCTGTGACGCCCTCTTTGGGGCTCTATGGTTCCTGGTGTCTCCAAGCATTCAGGTGCCACTGTGCTCCCTGGAGCCCACAGTGGAAGCCACTTGTGGTACACATGGGGCAGCTGCAGCCTTGCACAGAGCTGGCACCTGTGCCAGATCCTGGAGCTGCCCACCCCACCACAGCCGGCATGCCTGGCTGTGGGCAGCAGCCAGACCCTGTGCTTGCTCGCTCATGCACCCCTTGCCACTCCAATCCTGGCTCACCCTTGGCAGGTGTGGGATCCAGGCTGACAGCACAAGCTGAGTGTAGCTGGCCAGATTGAGTGGGCAGAGCCCAACAGGCCTGAGGGAAACTTGGGCAAAGGTATACTGGTCACAAATTTTTCTAGCTAGTGAAGTAACACCCCAAGGATCATGTGGTATTTCTGAAATAAATATTTATAGAACACCAGAAGTTCTTTGTATACTTTTTCATTCATTCCTTCAAGTTAACTATTATTTTGGTGATTAATTTGACTGTTTTAATTTTGAACTTTATATAAATAGAATGAATCAAATAGTAGGATACTCTTTTGTGTTTGGCATCTTTCACTCACTACTATAATTATGAAGTTTATCCGTATTTTTTTGTGGCAGTGGATTTTAAATTTTCATTTGCTGTAAAGTATTCCAGTGCCTGAACATATACATTTATTTACCAATTTTAATATTGAGTGTTTTGAGGGTTGCTTCTAGTTTTTTGCTGACACTAATAATGCTGCCATGAAATTTGTTATATGTCTTTGTTTGCATATGTGTGTGCATTTCTGTTGAAGAAAAATTACTGGAACATAGGGAAACATATGTTCAACTTCCCTTACATTGCCAAAAAGTTTCCAAAAGTGATTATTCCAATTTACACTTACATAAAATGTTTGAGAATATCAATTGCTCTATATCTTTGCCAATATTTGATATTGCTATCCTTTTTCATTTTAGTCATTAAGGTGGATGTGTGGTTGTATTTTACTGTGCTGTTAATTTGCATGTCCCTGACAACTAATAATAGTGAGTACCTTTTCAAATGCTTATTGGCTATTTGTTGTTGTTTTGAAGTCCCTTTTCAAGTATTTTGTCTCTTCTAATGATTAATTTGTTTTTAATTATTGGTTTGTCAAAGTTCTATATATGTTCTGGATACAAGTCCTTTATCAGATAAATATGTTACAAATATATTCTCTTAGTTAGTGGCTTACCTTTTAACTCTTAAGTGTAGGTCTGTTTCTGGACTGTCTCTTCTGTGCTGTTGATCGTTTTGCCTATTCTTGCTCCAATACCACAGTGCCTTAATTACTATAGTTTTAAAATAAGTCTTGATATCTAGTTTATCCTCCAGTTTTGTTCTATTTATTATTTAAGATCGTCTTGGTTATTCTTACCTGTTTACATTTCCAACCAACATTTTAAATTATCTTGCCAATTAAAAAAATTTGCTAGGATTTTGATTGGAATATCACTACATTTATAGATCAGTTTGGGAATACTTGAAATCTTTACAATATTGAGTTTTAAAATTAATGGATATGACATATTCCTCAATTTATTTAGGTCTTTAAAAGTATGACTCGGTTGGTGGTCTTCACATTCCATGATTCACCTGCAAAACAGAGATTGGACTAACACTAAAATAACTAAAATAATTTTAAAATATTAGAAAATAGGGGGAGGGGCCAGGCGCAGTGGCTCACACCTGTAATCCCAGCACTTTGGGAAGCTGAGGCGGGCAGATCACCTGAGGTCAGGAGTTTGAGGCCAGCCTGGGCAACATGGTGAAACCCTGTCTCTACTAAAAATACAAAAATTAGGTGGTTGTGGTGGCGCGCGCCTGTAATCCCAGCTACTCGGAAGGCTGAGACACGAGAATTGCTTGAACCCAGGGGGCAGAGGTTGCAGTGAGCCACGATTGTGCCATTGCATTCCAGCCTGGATGACAGAGCGAGACTCCATCTCAAAAAAAAAAAAAAAAAACTTGGGTTAGGGGCTTTAATATGAGTAAGATGCATATAGTGGTTGCCTCTTCCAAGGAGAGGAACCAAAATACTGAGTAGATAATTACATTTCAAATAGATCATCTAAAAGAAAACACTGTGATTCAACAGACAGGTGATGGAAAGCACCAAAAGCAAGAAAGGAGAAGGAAGTAAGACAGCCTGTTCAGCTTGGATTGTCTGGGAGTCTGGGGAGGCTCCTTAATGCAGGCAAAGTGTAAGTGAAATACACGCAGAAGTCCACATTCCTGCCACAGACTCCTGCAATCCTAGCTAAAGGGGAGCCTCTTGACTCTCACAGGCCCTGAGACTAACATAGGGAGCTTCCTGGAGACTGTGCAAAGACATTGCTCTGGAGACAGAGCTCACACTGGGTCTCACAAGCCTCCAGTCCTAAGCAGTGACATTTTGAGAGTGAAGCCTCCACCCATAGAGCCCCATTGACATTTCTTGCTCACAGCTGCTGTACTTGGGGCTGAGGTGGGAGCCACTGACAGCAACCCCTCCCCGCAAGCAGAAGGGTGGCCACTAATTTTCACATACCCCTGAGGACAAATTCTACTGCCTGCAACCACTACCACTGTGGGCTGATGCTGAGTGAAGGCAGAAAAGAAGTACATGCCTCCTAGCTACTTGCCTAAGTTTGCTCCCACTGAAATCAACCCTATCCTCCCCCGTGGCAGGACAAGAGTGCAGGTGCTACTGGCTCCCCCTGAGAATTCCACCAGAAGCCTGGGGATTACCCTGCCCCTGGCTACCACAGACAGCAGCTGCATGTGCCACAGGGTGGCCTGAGGGCAGGTCTGCCTGGTCCAGCCCTACCTCGCACCTGAGCATTCCATCAAGGATCTTAGTGATCTTCCAGCCCAGATCACCATGGTTGGCACCTGAGCACTCCTTCTGAGGTCTGAGGGTGGGTCCACTCAACTTGCTGCTACTTCCACAGCTATCACGCACAGGCATGGGCCACTAGTAGCCGTAGGGACTGGCCTGCCCAGCCTGTTGCAGCCATCAATAAAACCAGCATGGACAGCTTAGATCTCAGAGGGTTGTCCCACCACTGATTGCCATTGCTCATGCCATGCCCACTGCCCAGGAACTTCAAAACCCACCCACCTGCCTGGCCGATCACTACCATTCCTGGAACCTGAGCAAGCCACCTGGAGGCCCAAGAATCAACTTGCGTGGACCTGATAACACCAGTGCCAGTGCACATCGCTCTAGGGCACAAAGATATGCATGCTCAGCCACTGATGCCACCACTGGGCCAAAGACTTGCCTACCTGGCATCCCAGTCTCCAGCACAACTTTATCATAACCTCTACTAATAAACAAACCCTAACACACCAAGGAAATCACAGACACCACTAACATTGTTTATAGCCAAGTACAGAGACTACACTACTGCATGTACTCAGAATCAAATACTTTACTCCTATTCGACATGGTACTGGAGTCCTAGCCAAAGCAATCAGTCAAGAGAAAGAAATAAAAGACATCGAAATTGGAGAAGAAGTTAAGTTTTTCCTCTTTGCTGGTTATATGGTCTTATGTCTAGATAAATCTAAAGATTCCACCAAAAAACCCTTGAGATCTGATAAATAAATTCAGTAATTGCAGGATACAAAATAAACATACAAAAATTAGTAGCATTTCTATACACCAATAATGAACTAGTTGAGAAAGAAATCAAGAAAGCACTTCCATTTATAATAGCTATAAAAATTACCTCGGAATAAATTTAACCATGAAGGTGAAAGACCTCTACAAAGGAAACTACAAAACACTGATAAAAATATTGAAGAAGAGACAAACAATTGAAAAGACACTCCCTGCTCATGGATCAGAAAAACTAATATCATTAAGATGACCATACTGCCAAAGCAATCTATGGATTCAGGGCAATCCTTATCAAAATATCAATATCATTTTTCACATAAATAGGAAAAACAATACTAAAATTTGCATGGAAACAAAAAGGAGACCAAATGGCCAAAGTGATCCTGAGCAAAAAGAACAAAGCTGGAGACATCACACTATTTGACTTTATAATATATCACAAGCCTCCAGTAACTAAAACAGCATGTTATTGGTATAAAACCAGACACACAGATAAATGGAACAGAATATAAAATCTAGAAGTAAATCCATGTATTTATAGCCAGCTGATTTCCAATAAGATGCCAAAAACATATACTGAGAAAAGGACACCCTCTTCAATCAATGGTGTGGAAAAATTGGATATCCACATGCAGAAGAATAAAACTAGACTCTTCTCATGGTATAATTTTTTTATATATTAATACTTTAATCTAGAGTATGAAAGACTTAAACATAAAACCTGAAACTATAAAACTACTAAAAGAAAACATAAAATCCTTTAGTGTATCAGTCTAGGCAAAGATTTTATGGCTAAGATCTCAAAGCACAGATAACAAAAACAAAATAGACAAATGGGACTATATTCAATTAAAAAGCTTCTGTACAGCAAAGGAAACAATAAAGTGACAGGCTCTTGAATTAGAGAAAATATTTACAACTATTCATCTGAAAAGAGACTAATATCCCAATATAAAAGCAACTCAAACAATTAAACAGTTAAAAAAATCAAATAGTACCATTAGAAAGTGGGCAACGGACATAAATAGACATTTCTCAAGAGAAGATATACAAATGGCTAACAAGTATATGAAAAAAATGCTCAACCTCACTAATCATCAGGGAAATGTAAATCAAAACCATAATAAGACATCATCTTACCCTAGTTAGAATGGCTATTACTAAAAAGACAAAAAAGTAACAAATGCTGGTGAGGAAGTGGAGAAAATGCAACCCATACATTGTTGGTGGGACCATAAATTAGTATAGCCACTAAGAAAAACAGTCTGGAGCTTTCTCAAAGGATGAAATATAGAACTACCATATGATCCAGCAAACTCAGCACTGGGTATTTATCCAAAGGAAAGATCAAAGGGACGTCTGCACTCACATGTTTATTACAGTATTATTCACAATAGCAAAGTCACGGAATCAATCTAAGAGTTCCTCAATGGACTAATGAATAATGAAAGTGTGACGTATATACACAGTGAATACTGTTTGGCCATAAAAGGATGAAATTTTGTCATTTTCAGTGATATAGATTGCATTGGAGGTCATTATGTTAAGTGAAATAAACCAAACACAGAAAGACAAATTGTGTATGTTCCGACTCATATATGGGAACAAAAAAGTTGACCTCATGGAGACAGAGAGTGATATAATAGATAATAGAGGCTGGGAAGGGTGTGTTGGTGGGAGGCAGAGATGAAGAGAGGGTGATCAGTGGGTACCCAGGTACAGTTAGATAGAAGTTATAAATTTTAAATTTCAGTAGCAGAGTAGTATAACTATAGTTAGCAACAATGTATTGTATATTTCAAAGTAGCTTGAAGCAAGAACTTAAAATGTTCGCAACACGTAGAAATGATACTCAAGGTGATGAATACTCCAAATACCCGGACTTGATCATCGCACATATTATATATGTAACAAAATATCACGTGTACTCCACAAATATGTACAATATTGTGTATCAATAAAAAGTATTAGAAAATAACTTTAAAAACAGTTCGACAATAATAGTTTTTTCAAAGCTTTGTTCTATGTAGATATGAAGTAAACAGCAATTAGAGAACAAGAAGAAAAAAAGTATTGTTATGCTGTATGCAATTTTTCTTTATTAATTCTAGACTCTTTCAGTACCCTGAGAGTTGTTAATGTCTTAAGTCATGAAAATAACATAAGGAGGTTTATTTTACAACACAAGCAAATTGAAAAAAAACACATAACAGAGAAACTAAAATCAGACAAATGTTTTAAGGCTCAACATTTTGGGCTAATTGAAAGAACAGCTACCCTGTATTCATAAAAAGCCTGGACAATAGGCTAATCTTGAAGACATACAGTCTTGTTTTTCTTAAGTACACACAGTGATTTAAACAAGTTGTTCTCGAACTATTTCAAGAAGAGTTCCTTAGGCTTTCATTAAAATCATTAATGAAACTGACTTGTAATTAAGAACATGCATTAGTATAAACATTTGTTAGAAATCTATAAAAATGATTCTTAGGTTATTTAGAAATCCAATATCTTCAATGATTTTGTCTACATTATTAATTTGATTCACAATCACTTTTTCTTAGTATATATCCCAGTTTTAAATATAAATTTTAAATTTGTGTAGTTCAAATGAATGAGGTCTCACTGTATTTTAAAATGATTCTTTTAAAATAAAAATAATCTCCATCTACAAAAATAAATGAAACATAGATCTCTAGAAAAACATGTTTTTGTCATAATACTTGTTACTGTTATCAGCTGTTTTGACTAGGATGGACTCAAAAGTTAGATATGCCAGTCACATGCATAGAAGCATACCTTTCCTTCCAACTGTATATTTATTATTCATTCACTAATTCATTCAATAAATATTAATATTAACACTGCCTTTGGATGTCAGGCACTCTTGTGGGAAGATAAATGTGTATACACAGCTGACAAACTTCCCACTCTCATGGGCTTTACAGTCTAATGAAAAGACATAGATAATAAGCAAGATAAATAAGTAAAAATAGTATGGTAGATGATCAAAAGGGCTAAGGAGACAAGGTACAAAAAGGCAATGGCAAGTGTTTTAGGGGGTTGGAATTTAGAGGAGTCACTAGGAAAGGACTTGTCAATGGGACAATATTTGAGTAAAAATTTAAAGGCAGAAAGAGAATAAAATATGCTAATTCTTAGAGAAGGACATTCTAGTAGAAGAAACAGAAAGTGTCAGGATCTTGAGACAGCAGCTTACTGGGAATTTAGTGCCATTCACCAGGAGTAGGGCTAATAGGAGGAAGAGCAATAAGAACATGGCACAGGTATACATATGTAACTAACCTGCACGTTGTGCACATGGACCTTAAAACTTAAAATATAATAACAAAAAGAAAAATTAAAAAAAGAAGACATGAAACATAACCTTTTAAAATAAAAATATAATCACTTTTTAAGCATTAAAAAAAAGAAATAAGATTTGAAAAGAAACTAGATCAGATTACATGGAATTTAGTACATCTTTATAAGTACCATGGCTTATGCCCTGGCAAATAGCGAAACATTGAAGGATTTTGAGTAGTCCAGTGACATGGTCTCACTTTACTTTTTTAGCTTTAGAAAAATCCTCATTATTGCTATGTTTAGAATAGACCAAATGGGAACAAAAAAGCATGGTTCGAGAGATCAGTAGGAAGCTATTGTGAGCAAGAGGATTTGGTCAGAGTAGAAGCATTGAAGCCAAGAAAATTGACTGGGCTCTGGTTATATTTTGGTAGTAGAATGAACAGGATTTTGCTGATGGATTGGATATGGGATGGGAGGATAAGAGAAGAGACAATAATGATTGTAATATGTTTAAATACACTTTTTGTTTAAAAATTATTTTATAATTACAGAAAAATTGCAAAGATAATACAGTTTTCATGTACTTCACACCCAGTTTCCCATATTACTAACATGTTACTATTATTTTGGTACATTTGTTAAAATTAACAAGCCAATATTTACATATTATTATTAACTAAAATCAACATTTTATTTAGCTTTTTAAAATTCTTGCCTGGTGTCCTTTTTTTTTGTGCCAGGATCCCACCCAGGATACCATTACATTTAATTGTCTCATCTCCTTAGGCTTCTCTTGGATGTGACCATTTCTCTTACTTTTTATGTTTTTGATGACCTTGGCATTTTTGAAGAGTGCTTATCATTTAAAGACTGTCCTTTCATTGGGATGGATTTGATAGTTTTTTTTTTTTTTTCTGATTAGACTGTGTTACTGACTTTTGGGAGGAAGGCCAGAGGAACAGTGCAATTCTCTTTACAGCATATGAAGGATACATATGATGAACATGACTTACCACAGTTTATGTTAGGCTTGACTATCAGGCTAGGGAAGTGTTCATGAAGTTGTACCACTGTTAAGTTGCTCTTCTCTCTTCCTTTTCATATTGTACTTTTTGGAAGAAAACCACAATGTGCCGCCCACACTTAAGGAAGGAGGAGTTATACTTCACATCCTTAAGGGCAGACTATCTACATAAATTATTTGGAATTCTTCTGTATGAGACATTTGTCTCTTATCTTTATTTATTTATTTTGTATGAACCGATGAACATTTATTTTATACCTTGCGTTAAAATCTAATAGTACTTTATATTTTTTGTTGCTCAAATTGTTCTGGATTTAGCCATTGAGAATTCCTTCAGCTGGGTCCTGTGTGTCTTTGACATATTTTTATCATTTTTGTTTTTAGCACTTTCTTACTTTTTGGCACTGCAAAATGCTTTAGGCTTATTTTTTGTTTCTTGCCCTAGTCCTAGAATCAGGCATTTCTCTAATAAGCTCTAATTCCCTTACCGGAGAATGTATTAGAAACCAAGATCTAGGTGTCAGGTGCACTCATTGCTATTGGGGTGTCAATGCTTCTAGGCCCTCTCAGCTGATAGGGCAAGGAAATATATGTGTGTGTACTAACATATGTATATATACAAATCTATGTATATTTATGTACAAACAACTATCTATATATTAAGTTATACATGAGTTCACACTAATGCCTCCACCTTGAATTCATTACCACATACCAACCACATAGCTCATTGTAGCTGTCTCCCTTTGCTATTTCCCACTCCAACAGGGAGAAACCTGGCTCACACAATCCACCATCCATTTACTTATTCAATTCCAGTATACATGTATTGTAGTTTCAGAATTGTTAACCTGTATTACTGTGGAATATGAATTTATCGACAAAGTATTGTTCTTGTATATAATACCTTTTGCCTTTAATTTTTCCAATTACACCCATTTCCAATGTTACTTAAGTGAGGACATTTTGCCCCTTTTTCAGTATGCATCTTTCATACATTCGTAATACAGCTGGATCCTTCTGTCACATTTTGCATTCTATCCTGGAATCTTCCAACCTCTTAAATGTTTCTGTTTTTGTTTTTAAGTAGCATACATTAAGGTACCGAAAAGTTTTATGGGTTTTGACAAATGTGTACTGTCATATATCCACCACAACAGCGTCATCTAAAATAGTTGAAGCTCCCCCGTGCTTCATCTGTTCAACCCTGCCCCTCCCTCTGCATGCTTGGAAACCACTTGTTACAAACTCATGATTTTGAACTGTAGACTACAAACCTTTAAAATAATCATATTAATCCTTTGTATTTATGTTTAAAAGTCACCTTATTTAATAAGATAAAAAGAAGAGGTAATATTAGGATTGTTCTGGTTATATATTGCTGCCTAACATATCACCCCAAACTCAGTAACTTAAACAGCAATCATTTCTTTTTCTTTTTTTTTTCTCTACCCCCTTCCCCATGTCAAATCTGCAATTTGGGCAAGGCTTAGAGAAGGATTATCTCCATTCCTCTACTACATGGAGAAAAAGGATCTCATTTTATCCTTTTGTAGGCCAGTTCCCTTACATAAGATGTTACTCAATGTACTTTTTGGGAAATTTGTTCAATGCAACCACATTTATTAAGTTCTTATATATACAAGGTATTTGGCTAAGCAATGCGATGAATATAAAAAATGCAAAGATAGGCTGTGATTCCTGCTCCCAAAGAATTTATAAATCTAGGTCATATTAATTTTAATGGAGATTTAGGTATTATAACAAACACCAAAATAGCAGTGGCTGAAGCAAGATAAAACAGCATTTCTTTTTCAGGTTACAATATAATATAAGTGATTAAGGGTTGGTATGGTGAATTTACAATGTCAGAGACCCATTTTTCTTCTATCTAATTGCTTTACCAACCCTAGGACCAAAGTCTTCCTCAAATATCATCACACTCTGGGTGATGGAAGGCTAAAAGGAGGGACAGAAGGAGAACATTACTTTCTTTAAGGTCATGACTTGGAAATTGATCACACCAACTCTGTTTACATCTTATTGGTGAGGTTGCTGTCACGTGACCACACCTATAGTCAGTGGAAGATGAGAAAGCAATATTTAGCTGAAATTAATATAATCCATTCAAATGTTATAATACTTAAGGTAGATGGGGAGAATATTGCCACAAGGGATATATAACTTGTATTGAAAAATGACTATGATACAAGGAAGAAAGTCATTACTCCTTGTAAGGCTGATATAAACTGTGATTTGGGGATTCAAAAAAATAGAGGTTAATTCTGAAGGTAATAAGTAGGAAAGTATAGACACACAAATATGAGCATTTAAATATGAGTAAGAATATGAAAGACTGAATCCTGACCAGAGTCAGAAAGATATAACGTTTAATCTTGGGTGAGCAGAAACTCCAGTCTAGTTTTAAGTCATGTTTCAAGAGTGGAAGTAGCTAAAGCCAAAGCAAGAAAGGCAAGTCAGTAGCCAGTTGTAGATGACTTTTATTTTTAGGATATGTTCTAAAAGGAAGCTTGTGGATGGGCTTTGCTAAATGTATGACACATAATAGGTTATTAGTAAACATTAGATTATTTTCTTTCATAAGAATTTAGGTTTATTCTAAATTTACTAATTTTCTTTTTAATGAAAGAAAGTGACATATAACCTTACTTTGGAGAAGTTACTATTTGTGCAAGAGGGTGGTGGAAAGTAACTGATTGACTGCTGTGACATGGGTTAGCAGTAGTCTCCAGAAGAGAGGTGATTCCAAAGTTAAAAAAGAATTCTTAGACATGAAAAACTCAATAGATAGACTCAAAAACAGACGTAAGATGGCAAAAGAATCAGTGACTTCAATCATAAGTCAATTGAAATTATTCAGTTTGAAGAACAGAGACAAAAAGTTTAAAGAAAATAAAGCAGAAATACAAAGACATGTAGGAAAACATTCAACATTCAACATATATGTAATGAGATTCCAAGAAGAAAACAATAGAAAGGAGAAGAAAAAGATTTGCATATATAATGGCTCTAAATAATCCTCAGTGGGGTAAAGACAAGAAGAGCCATATCTAGACATGTTATAGCCAAACTCACGAAAATCAAATACAAGGTGAACCATCATTTACATTTTCTTTTTTTGAAATTTTTACATTTATTTACTTTTTTAAAAAATACTTTTAGATTGAGGGGTACATGTGCAGGTTTGTTACATAGATAAACCTGTGTCCTGGGTATTTGTTGTGCAGATTCTCTCATTACCCAGGTATTAAGCCTAGTGCTCATTAGTTATTTTTCCTGATCCTCTCCTTACTCTCACCCCTTACCCTCCAACAGGCCCCAGTGTGTGTTGTTCCCTTTAAAAGTGAGAACATGTTGTATTTGTTTTTCTGTTCTTGTGTTCATTTGCTAAGGATAATGGCCTCTAGCTCCATCTATGTCCCTGCAAAAGAAATGATCTCATTCTTTTTTATGGCTGCATAGTATTCCAGGGTGTATATGTACCACATTCTCTTTATCCAGTGTATCATTATTGGTGGGCATTTAGGTTGACTCCATGTCTTTGCTATTGTGAATAGTGATGCTATGAACATATGCATACATGTGTCTTTATAATAGAATGATTTATATTCCTTTGGATATATTCTCAGCAATGGGATAGCTAGGTGAAACAGAATTTCTGGAATTCAGTATATTCCCAGTAACGGGATTGCTGGGTCAAATAGAATTTCTGTTTTTAGGTATTTGAGGAATCACCACACTGTCTTCCACAATGACTGAACTAATTTACACTCCCACCAACAGTATGTAAGTGTTCCTTTTTCTCCACAACCTTCCCAGCATGTTATTTTTTGACTTTTTAATGACAGCCGTTCTGACTGGTGTGAGATGGTATCTCATTGTGGTTTTGATTTGCATTTCTCTAATGATTAGTGATGTTGAACTTTTTAAATATGTTTCTTGGCCACATGTATTATATGTATGTCTTCCTTTGAGAAGGAAAATATCTTGAAAATTCCAGTGCCTTTGGAAAAAGAGCCAATATGCACACTTGCTTTGCCTTTCTCAGGCACACAGCATCAATCTTTGTAGACAATGGTTACAGTTGTTTCTTGACAGTGAATTCTAAATGTAAATCATTATCAGAGGTATTAACAGTTGACTGCTCAGAGAAATTCTCTGAACTAGTAAAGGAGAAACCTAGACACCAGCACCCTTTTATTTTCTTGATGCTGTATTATAATTTCAGAGCCAAGAAACAGTCAACTTCAGAACTACTTGAGAGGAAGTACTTGAAAGTAGAGAGAGAAAAAGGAAAGTAAAAAGACTAAAGGAGGGTGAAGGAAAAAGCTTAAATGAATCAAGTCAAAAGGAGATGACTAAATGATAGATAAACTCCAATTTGTCTATGAATAAAACATGGTGTATGCCATATTTATTTTTGTATTATACATTGTAATTATAAAAACAGTGGAAAGAAGCTGATAAAAGATAAGTTATCTGGAGGCAATTTAAAATAATTGTTTGGAAAAATGTCAGTAGACATTGCTGCAAATTATGTTTTGCAGAAATAGCACATTCTAGTATATGTGAAAATTAAAATAATACATTAATGTTATGTCATTTTATAGTCTTGCTTCCAATAGTAAAGTGCAAGTTTGATTTAAGCACTATGATATTAAAAACAAATTATTTTTTGCCACAATATGATTCACTGAATTTTCTATGGTTTTTCTTTTTTGTATTTCATTGGTTTTTCTGCTTTTATTTTTATTTCTGCTCTTGTACTTGTTTTGAATTTATTTTGCTCTTTTATCTCAAGATAAAAACTTAGATTAATTATTTAAGCCTTTTTTCTTCTCTTACACAAGCATTTAATACTATAAATCTATTCTTTTATTGCAGCCCACAAGTTTCATATATTGGGTTTCTACTTACATTATATTCTAAACGTTTTATTTTTGAGCCATGGCGTGCTTTGACCCATGTGTGCTGTTTAATTTCTAAATAATGTTGTCTGAAAATATGTCTTGTATTATTTTAACTCTTTTCAACTTATTGCAGTTTGTTTCATGGCCGAAAATATAGTCTATCTTGGTGAATATTCTATTGCGTCTGAAAATGTGCATTCTGCTCTCACTAGAAGGGTACTCTACAAACATCAACTAGGTTGACTTAGTTGATAATGTTCTTTAGGTCTTCTATATTTTTATACATTTTCATCTACTTTTTCTGCCACTTACTTAAAGAAGAGTATTGAATCTCCCACTGTAACTGTTGATTGGTCCATTTTTTCCTTTCAGTTCCATCACTTATTCCTTCCTGTATTATGAAGTTTTATTTTTATGTACATATAAACATTTAGGAATGTTATGTCCTCTTTATAAATTATAATCATATATGTCCTGGCAATATTCCTAGTTCTGAAGTCTATTTTTATCTGACATTCATAAAGCCACTCAGTTTTCTTTTGCATATTGCTTCCATGACATATAGTTTTCATCCTTTTACTTTTAACCTTTCTATGACTTCATATTTGAAATGTTTTCCAATTTCTATAGTTGGTTCTTACCTTACCTGCCATCCTTATCTATAATCCAATCTGACAATTTCTGCCTTTTAATTGGTTTTTGATCATTAGAATTTACTGTAATTGCTGTTATTTATATATTTTTTAAATTAATTATACCAAGCTGGTGGTGATTGTCTATTTATCCCATCTGTCCTTTGCTTTTTTCTTTCTCTTTCATTATTTTTATTATTTATTTTTATTTCCACTATTGGAAGCATATTAGTAATACCCTTATTTTCTAGTGACTTTCCTAGGATTTGCAATGTATATCTGTAACTTATCACAGATAATCTCCAAATATTACTGTACCAATTAGTGTATAGTTTAAGCAGATTACAACATGTTACATTGCTCCCTCTTATTTTTGTGCCACAATTGTCATTCATCTTACTTTTGCACATTGTATAAACCCACAATCATGTTACTATTTTTTTGCTTTAGACAGCCAATTCTCTTTACAGCGACTGAAAATAAGAAAACAAATATTTTATGCTTGCCCTCACTTTACTGTTTCCAGTGCTCTTCATTTCTTTCTGTGCAACCAAATTTCCATTTGGTATGTTTCTTCTGTTTGAAGAATTTCCTTTAACATTTCTTATTGTATATACGTGCTGACAATATATTCTTCTTTAATTTACCTTAAAAAGTACTTTATTTTGCTATTCTTTTTGAAGAACACTTTTACTGGGAATGGAATTCAGATTCAAGAGGTTTTTCTCTTTCAGCACTTTGAAGATGTTATGTCATTGTATTCTGACTTGCTTAGCTACCGATAAGGAGTCTGTGGTCAATCTTACCTTTGCTTGTCTCTGCCTGACTTCATGGTTTCCTCATTATCTTTTATTTTCAGCAGTTTGGCTGTAGTATTTCCAGTTTTATTTTGTTTTGTTTTTGGAATGTATGTTAGTCTGATATTTTCCCACAGCTCTTAATTTCTCTATTCTGTATTTTTTGTCAGTTTTGTCTGTTTGTTTTCCTCTTCTTATTTCAGTTTCAATAATTTATTTTGCTCTATCTTCAAATTTACTCAATCCTTGTTTCCAGTCTTATAATGAGAACATCAAAGGAATTTTTTGTCTCTGTTACCATAGGATTTAAATTTTTTTTAGCATTTTCATTAGACTAATTCTTACAGTTTCCATTCCTCTAATGAAATCCGCTATCATTAATTCTTATAGTTTCCATTCCATTCCTTATAGTTTCCATTCCAAATCCACTCTCTGTTCATGCATGTGGTCCATCATGTCCTCTAGATCCTTTAACATATCTATTATATTAAGTTTAGTTTTAAATCTTGTCTGATAATGCCAACTTATGGATCAATTCTAAGTCTGGTTCTATTGACTGCTTTATCTCTTTCCAATGAGTCATTGTTCTTGCATGTTTTGTTTGTCTTATAATTTTTTATTAAATGCTGACATAATATGTAGAATAGTAGAACCTTAGGGTAACAATATGTATGGTGGAAATGCCTCTTCTTCTGTCAGAACATTAGTATGAATCAAAGAAATCATCAATTGAGCAGAGTTTTGGTTTTGGTGTTGTAATATTGGAATTCACCGTCAGTGCATCACAGGCTTCACATTTCTCCCGTGGTTGGCAGGGGTTACCTTGTGTTTTGATCAGTGTTTTTACTCAACTCTCAGCTTTAGAAATTTCTTCACATCTGAGCCAAGGAGTAGAGGCTTGGTTGATGCTCTTGTTCTTTCTCTAGCAGTAGACTGCTATTGCTTATTACTTGGTATTAGTCTCATGTTAAGAATTAGGTCATGTTTCCTCCTCCTCTGCCCCCTCTCTTTTCTTGTCTATCTTCAATATTTGGAAAGCTCTGTGCTCCTAGGCCTCAAAGGTGGAGCTTTGCTTGCATTCCTTCCCCTTCCCTCTCATGGTAGCTGAACTCTGTATTGTGTTTGTGGTTGATCTAGGGCAGGGATAATTTTTTTGCCCCTTATCTAGTGTGATATGGTTTGGTGGTTTCCCAACCCAAATCTCATCTTAAATTGTAGCTCCCACAATTCCCACATGTCATGGAATGACCTGGTGGGAGGTAATTGAATCATGGGGACGGGTCTTTCCTGTACTGTTCTTGTGATAGTGAATAAGGCTTATGAGATCTGATGGTTTTATAAGGGGGAGTTTCCCTGCACACGCTCTCTATTTACTGCTGCCATGTTAGACATGACTTTGTTTCTCATTCGCCTTCTGCCATGATTGTGAGGCCTCTCAGCCATGTGGAACTGTGAGTTTATTAAACCTCTTTTTCTTTGTAAATTACCCAGTCTTAAGTATGTCTTTATTAGCAGCATGAGAACAGACTGTTCTCATGAGATTATGAGACAGAACATAGTGTTAGCTGATCATGCTTGCTATTGGTTTTGGATCCCAGAGTCAAGAAGGTTTTCTGTCCTTTCCCAATGGGCATAGAGTTTTTGCTTATATACATCTCCCAGCAGCAAAGGACCTTAGCTTGTGTCCTGAAGTTGATGACTATTTCTGCCCCAGTGCTAGTGGCAGTGAGTTTTCATTCTACACATGTACTCAAACAATAGATTTTTACCTAGGTTCTGGGGAATGAGAGAGTTTGCTGCTCTTCCTCAAATGACTTAAAACTTTTCATTTATAGAATAAAAAGTGCAAAGAAGCTTAGCAGCGAGGGTACTCTCCCATTTCCTTTCTTGCACCGGTCTTTTTTATGAGCACTTGGGTGGTGGGGGAAGGACATGGAAAAGAGCTTATGAGTCAGTGCAGAAACCCCTGTTTCTGGGGACATCGAGTATTACCGCTGACATTCTAGTGCTTTGACAATTTGTTAACATTTTAGCTCATTTATTTTTGTCTGTGTGTTTGATGGCCACCAGTTTCTCCTGTGCCTTGACATAAGTGAAATGACTTGTGTGCACTGTCTCTCCTTTTATAGGCTTGTCATTCTATGGAATTCAGTTTTCTTGGTTGCCTGGAGACCTCAGCTGTCTGAAAGGCTCTAGAAAAATTATGATTTTGTTGATGATCTGTCTTTCCCTCATTAGTGTGAAAGCAGCATTCTCTTGTGGCTTTTTACATCCTCATCCCAAGTGAAATCATATCAATTTTGATAGATGCTTATTTCTGTGCTATCTTAATGAAGAATTAAACATATTTTCTATTTATTTAATCTAGAATTTTAGTTGTTTTTCATAGAAAGGTCTTCAGGGGGTTTTGGTAGGAAAACTCTATATTTAAATGATTGTTATATATTTAAGGATAATCACTAGAACATTGTAAATAACATAGTATAATTTCCAAACCATTAGAGAAAAACAACCCCACAGAATTGGACTGATTTAACTAAAGGCAAGGTCCACAATGACACTACTTTTCATCAAATGAAAAAAAAATCCATGTGCTATTTCAGAGAACCCTCTTGAATTGAAACACTCTGCATTATTTATTTATTTTCTAAATTCAGATTTTTCTAGAGAACAATACAAGATTTTCTTCTGTGAAGAAGTTTTTCATTTCCCTTAATGTCTACACTGGAGAAATGGACTTGCATTTTGATTAGGCTAATCATTATTAGTGTTGTCATTCACCACTAGCCCCTCAAGAGCATTTAGTTAAAAAAAAATCCAACATTAAGGGCAAATTATTCTATTGAATGGAAGAATGTTTTAGGACTTTTTTCCCAGGGGAAAAGAATATCTTTTCTGATCTTTGCTTTTAAGTGCTGTGAAAATCTATTACACTTTCATGTTTGTGCTACACAGCTCAAAAACACAGTGAGTGTAATTTCCTTTTTTGAGGCCATTTTGTTATGGGAATAATGGAGAAATGTGTTGCTACAGTACCACAAAGTCATTTTTGTATAGATAAGTTGATAGTTGTGATAAGGAACTTGATATAATTAACTCTCACAGTTTAATTCTCACAGGGTATTTACATTCACCACTCCTTACCTAAGATAAAAGAAACAATCTTTGGGTTTTTTCCTTCAAATTCTGGAATGTCTTTAAGAAAGAATACTGGAAGCTTGCCCTTCTCTTAAAAGACCCCTCCAGCTGTAAAATTCAATGACTCTTTAGTATCAGTTTTCTTAAAGGAGTTAGTAGATGAGGAATTTATCTTAAATCCTATCCCAGATTTTCTAACTGAAGTATTAGTATGTGGCAGTTCCCCAGCATGGAACCAAGAATAGTGAGATGTGATAAAGCTTCACTGTCTTTTGTAGCATGTTTTCTGGAAGAAAAAATAGAATCATTTCTGTATTGTGTAGTGTGATGAACAATTAAAAATAATACTGTTTGCAAGCTCTCTGATTTAGAATTCTAAGCTGAATTCATGTCTATAAATTGCCTTTAATATGTAAATGTCTTGAACAAGCATTTGTAGTACATTCAATTTAGAGGGTGCATTTAAATTCATTTCTTAGAATAATACTCTGAGTTAGGTTGAGTTTATTTCCATCCTATAGAGAAAAATTAGTAAAGAAAGAGTTTTTCATCTATCCAAGCATGGGCACTAAGTAACAATGAGGCATTCATTTATTCCTTCATTCATTCACTCACTCACTAACTACGTTTTCATGGAGGGCCTTCTTTGATGTAGGCTCTCTGTTAAAAACTGAAAATACGTAGATGAAATTCATTCCTGATCTTAAGGTGACTATAATCCAGTAGGAAGCCAGAAGCCAAAATAAACAATGAATGTAATATAATAATCGTTATAATAAGAGTATGAACAAAATGCAGTGAGAACATAGGCAAAGGATAATGTAATTCTATTTGGGAGTATTCCGGAAGACAAAGTATTACGGAAGAGGTCCTTGAGGATTAGCACAGAACTATTAAATGACCTATTAAAGAGGGAGTAGATATCTGCTAGTCACATGTCAGAAGCTAAGGGTTGGGTGGAAAGCAGAACTTTCAAGATATATGGGATAGCATGTTCAAAGTCTGGCGGGAATCACCAGTGTTTCTGTAATCATGGAGCAGAAGTTGAGTGCAGAGATGGGAGAAAAAGATAGGCAGTAATGAAAGATTTTACATATTTTTCTAAAAGTTTAAAGCTTCAACCTTAGAAAGTAGGAAACCATTGGAAAGTTTAAAGAAAAATCCAAAGGATTAGATTTGCATTTCAAAAATGCAACTGTGACTTCACTGTGAAAGGTAGAACTAGAAGGCACAAGATTTATTCTTTCTTTCTGTATTCCACAAACACTGTTAGAGAAAGGGCACTCTGTTGAGCACTAGGAGTATACTACTAAGAGGCTAGCCAGGTTCCTAGCTAGTAGAGTGTAGTCTAATGGAACAGATGCACAGAAATTAAGGAAATAAATACTCCAGAGTTTGCAAACTGAATGAAGGGAAGAGTGTCAGCTAGAATGATTAGGAAAGGACTCTCTGAGAACTTTCACTGTTAAAAATTACACACTGCTTGTGACAAACCTTACAATTGATTATCACAATCAGGCAGTCATGGTACTTGAGCTGTGAGTGCTGAGGAACTCGCAGGTAGTGTTCAATGTGGAATTTGTTCTCTTACATCTTTTACCCAAGAAGATTAAAAAACTTGTTTCACTGCAATTATACAAAGAAGTATTTTTGCAATAAGTATTATTCAAGACTTAAGGTGGATAAGAGCAATACCTCTGGAAGCTATCGCACTTTTACGGCTCTTCAAACAGGAACAGAAATCACTGAAGTCTGTATTTAACGACTGCGGTTAGAGCAATCACAAAGCAGTAGAATGATACCTCACTGTAGTTAGTATATGAAGTTTCATGTAACAGAATAACTAGATCTGTGTGCACTGGCAATGATTACAATGAGCCATGGGGTAGTATGTTGTACTGAAGTGGGTCTGGGCATAGTGTAGCAATAGCTATCACTAACGAGTCTCCATTAGGGTGCAGAAAAGTCATTTTACAAGCTTCCCAGCCATTAACTTATGATTCAGAACAGAATCACAGCCTATTTTCAAAAATGTTATTATGTGTGTATATGTGTATTTCAATTATATATTATAAAACTATAAAATATAGATTTATATAATGTAGGATCTCTTTTTCTCAACTAAATCTTTGTTTTTAAAAATTATTCCAAGGAATCTTTCACTAATTTACCTGGATTGGTTAGAGTCTATAGCAATTGTATACACAAAGTAAGCAATATCTCTTTTGTAATGAAATAAGAACAATACCTACTCCTGCATGATATATTGGCAAATAGTCAATGCTTATTAAATTAAAGGGATGCTCATTTCATTGGGGAAGTATTGTATTATAGTGGTTAGGAGTGTTAGCTCAGTTCTCAGGTGGCCTGGGTTCCAATCCTAGGTCTGCTATCTGTTAGTTAGCTTGAACCATAGACAAGTTACCTAAACTTGCTAAGTCCTAGTTTCTTCACATTTAGAATAGGAAGAGAAATGCTACCTAAAAATAGGCTGGTTGTAAGATTTCAATGAAATAATCCACAAAGTATGCTTGGCACAGTCTGTGACACATAGTAACTGTTTGGTGTTTTAACTACTGATTATTTAGCAATGAATATTGCACATGACCTCCCTAAGGAAAAATAATTTACTGGCTAACATCAAAAATGCAGTTGGAAACAGGGGCTTATTTTGCTCTGAATAAAGCTAACAAATCTGTGTACAATTAAAAGTTCATCTCATGATAAAAAAGAGGGGAAAAATAATCCTAATCTTTATCCAGTTCAAGAAGTTTCAGTGATCCAGGTTCCACAACGTGGATATATATCTAACATGGGATTCATATGGTAATCATTTCTAACAGGGTTTTCTAGTTAACACATTGGTAGTTTTTATTGGCATTATAATTTGTGTTAAGGACCAAAATCTCTTGGCATGTTTTCACTTAAGTGATTTCAAGAAATGTTTAAAAATCAAAGCTTACATTTCTAAATTTAAATGTTAATGAAAGAGGATAAGCTGTTAATACTCTTTTGAGATGCTGTTTAGTGAGGTGAGTTGGTGTTTAGTGGGGTATTCCCATTAAAATTAATGTCTTAATTCTGGGAGATGAATGGTAAAGAGAAACAAATAAAGTCAAATAAAAACTCTCCTTGGCTTTTCCAATAATTTGAAAGATATGTTAAAATGAACAAATGATGACCACTATTTTTTTCCACTGCTAGGGATGTTTAAAATATATCTAAATATTAATAGAAACAGAAAAAATTCTTGTTGTTGCCATGTCTAAAATGTTTGGGAATTATAGGTAAAAACGCTCTTTAATAAAATTAACATTGTTATTTTAAAACTATTTTTACCTCTCTTAGGTCTGTAGAATATTTTGGTCCCCAGACAGCAGTGTCTATATCTTACTCATTTTGTGATTCCTTCAAGGCAAGGCACATAAAAGATAGTCAACAAATGCTTGCTTGATCACCATAATGTTCATGACACCTTTCACTTATACAAAGTTTTACTCTAAAGAGAATGCGTTCTAATTGGATTCATGTGTAAAAAGTTCACCAAAATATCTCCATTTGGAATTTTACTAATAAATAGACTTCCCTGTCACTATTAGGGCTTATTGAGAGGATAAAAGATGGAATAATTTTAGCCTGTACTGACAAGGTTTTATATTGATATCTATTGACCTTTTCCAGAGACACCAGTAGCAGAAAGGTTGGAAAGAGAAATGTGTTTTAAAAATCTATAGTACAGAATGGAAAAGATACAACCCAAATTAATTTTGACAGCCATAAAATCATGAAGGTCGTATTTATTGGATTTGAAATAAGGTGTATTTTTTAAAAATAAATTATAAAACTCATAAAGTTGAATAGATATGTACTTAAAAGCTTGATTTTGGCCAGGTGTGGTGGCTCACACCTGTAATCCCAGCATTTTGGGAGGCCTAGGTGAGCGGATTGCTTGAAGCCAAGAGTTCAAGACCAGCCTGGCCAACATGGTGAAACCCTATCTCTACTAAAAACAAAATACTAGCCAGGCATGGTGGTGTATGCCTGTAATCCAAGCTACTTGGGAGGCTGAGGCAGAAGAATTTCTTGAACCCAGGAGAGGAAGGTTGTAGTGAGCTGAAATCACCCCACTGCACTCCAGCCTAGGGGACAGAGTGAGATCCTGTCTCAAAAAAAAAAAAGCTTGATCTTCGTGTGTAATCCACACTTTGGTGAGAATTGATGCTGAGGTTTAGCTTGGTTAAAAAAATCTTTTGAGTGAAGTTAAGATTTTCATTGTATTAATTGTATGAAATAGAGAAGGACATATATAATATAATATAATTATTTTGCTTATTATTTTAAACAGAAAAGTTAAAATTATTTAAAGTTTTCTTTCGCTTTTTCAGTGTCAATAGTGCCTTTATTTTGTAGTTGAAAAACATCACTAATGTTGGAACAGAATCCATAATGGGAAGACTAAACACTGTTAATACTCCGAAGTTTGGTGTCAACCTCCTCTTAGCTGCATTTTTTAAAACTATGTCTAAGGAGCCAACAGTTCATTAAGACATCATGAGTCATCCATTCTTTTCCCTTTTTCCTTTACCATCATTTTTCCCTTGGCAATAGAGAATATAATTTTAACTGAATTTTGATTTAGTATATATAGAAATGAATCTAATGCTTTGCCATTTTTGTTTTGTTTGGAACCTGTTAAGAGTTCAAAGTTTAATAATACATTCTAAGTGATGTTTATATATGTGTAGTAAAAGCCTTTAAGGGCATTTCTAATATCATGATTCCACTTTATCAGGGAAATGTCACACTCTACGCATAACTTTAAAGAAAACAATTTTGGGCCAAACACTGAATTTAAACTAACATTGTTTATCTTTGACAAATATTTCAATATTTTTTTCTGTGAAAAATGCTGGTGTCATCTAAAAAGACAATTATATCTTTCTCACTTATCATATTCAGTCTGGAGTCATTCCTGTTTCACTTAACTCATTTGTGGAAGTGGATACAGCACTAAGACCACAATATAATTATACATCTTGCTGCTTTAAGAGGCTTTTAGTTTTAAGAAGAGATTACTTTCCACTTCAGAATAGAAGTAGATATTTTTCAGTGCCATATTTGTCCTAGATCCAGCTGTGCTTCCTAGGTATCTGGTTTACGTTATCTTTGATAAGCAGAGTAGTGTCCTAACGTCAAATAAGGTCATGTGATACATTTGGCTGATGTTAGGACTCAACACCTATGCTAATTATTAGCTGCAGCTTTATACATCCTGGGGTCCACATAATTTGTCATCTCTCAAATACCAGCTCATGTACACAGAACAATTCTTTAAACACAGACACAGAAAACCACCATTTCAAAATAATTATTTTAACCAAATACAACTGTAATTCTGCAGTTTTGAAATGTGTCACTTTCCCCAAAGGAGCTTCTGGGAACATTGCCCAAATCAGACTTTTATCTACTGAAACGAAACTTGAAATTTAGAAAAGATGAATTCATTGCCACACATGTATGCCATTATATAACAAATAAAGGACATCACATCATCCTTACAGTGTTTGGATTGGTTGAGTTACTAAGCAATCTTAAATAAGAAAAGGACATTTTCTTCAAATTAAGAGTTTTCCCTCAAAGACTCAGTTATGAAATATTCCAAAGCTAAGGGAGAAACTGTCATTAGATCAGAAAAAGAGATATTCATGATCACTATTTTTTAACTTTGCCAAAACGTCTCTTGACTTTTTATCCAAGTTTTGAGAAGCAGCACTATAAAACAAATACATAGATAATTTAATTATTTCACTTATAAGGAACATAAGTGATATATCCATATATTTGCATATTTATGTCTATTTATGTATCTGTCCTTATCCTCATTAATCTTTATGCCAGGTCAATATACTCTGAAACACTTTGTAATAATCTCATAAAACTAAAGTGAATAATTTCAATACTATTAAGTACAAGTATCATTGGTGATATGTAATTTGAGACTGCACAGGTAAGAATATCACAAAAACAAATCCTTTGGAAGTTTAATATTTGTAGATGAATTCCAGGCTCATAAGGGACAAAAGTTGATGTGTATAAAGGTCCTACTGAAAATAGGTTATATTCTTATAAATTATGTGATTTAAAACATAATTATCAATTTGTACTATATATCATCAACAATAAATTAAACATTTAAAAATGCCACTTTTATCCTATTGTAATTCTCCTCAGAAAAATTACTAACCCCTAAGTGTCTACAGGAAAAAAATATTTTCCTGGTATGAAACGAATTTATTTTACCACATCCCCCATTCCATCTTTACTACTTTCTTTGATTATGTTCCTACCTAAATTATCACAATTTGTCATATTTGTTAACTTCTGTACATTCTATCCCTTTCGTTTGCCAGTCATCCCTGGTATACTACGTGTACAGACTTTGTAAAAATTCAGGGCCATGGAAAGTTCTGTTTTGTTGGTGTCACTGGCCTCCTTTAACATGGAGGCAAGCTTGATAACTTTACCTTTGAAGCCATGCCAAAGACTGAACCCTGCTACTCCTAGGGAAGCTCATGGACACTATCACTGAATGTAGGTAATGTTAACATTCTTGAGAAGGAGGTGGGTCTATTTTCTGGTGTCCTTGAGTTCCCCTTTCATCAACGTCTCTTCTCTAAAGTTTTAGACCCATTGGGCACCAGGGAATAGGTGTATTTAGGACCTCTACATACATTAGAATCCAAATTCCTTATCTTTTAATAATTTTTTTTAACAACACCATACTAATTTAATGATTTTTCATTATTCTTCTGCCAAAACCAGAGACTCAAAATGAGGTGAAGACAGAGGTGGGTGAAGCTTCTTTGAGCACTTAGAACTATAATCATTTGGCACTTCTTTCTGCTCCTTCCATAACAGACAGTTGTAAATATCATCACACCCTGAATCACATGAAAAGTGGAATCATAAGTTACAATCTAAAAATAAGAGAAAGGGACTGGAAAACTGCATAGTTATGTAATTCACCTTTGTATAGCTTCTCAAGTAAGTTTTAGATTTTTTCAGTTGTGGGTGGCTCTGTTCAGTATCTGAAGGCTAAGCGATCTCAGTTCAGAATGCTTGTGGCTCCCCAAAAGTGAATTTTCTTATCTTATTATCTTTGCCATAATTCTTATCTATGGACTTTGAGAAAAGCCTATTATGCCTGGTGTTTGTATTCCAATAGTCCTTCTGGGAATAATTCCCTTCTTATATACATAATATCTTCATCTCCACTAGAATCTCTTGTTATTTTTTAAAGAAAGGATAGCTCACAAATCTTTATCACTTATTGTAAGAGTATAACTGTACTTGAGTATGTTAGACGTAATTGGATCCACTTTTCCTGTTTCAAGATGAAGAATTTATCAAGAGTATTTCTCAGCTTTCTGGTCTGTGTTTATATCTAGCTTGGCTGAATCCATTTTTGTAGTCAGTTCTGTTCACTAAATTCTCTGTTATTTCTTTTCTTCCTCCTAACTTACGTATTCCCTTTTTCTTCTTTACTGTTTACTTTATCTCCTTCACTGGGACATGGATTAAACCTAATAGCCACTCATTTTTCATTTTTTTCTGTCACACTTTTAATCATCACAAATTAGCCATTAGAAACATGGCTAATTTGACATTAAACATTGTCATGCTCTTCCTACAATGAAAGTTATATAGACAAAAAGATTTTAAAAATTTACACATTTTAAACTAATTTTAAGTTAGCAATATCGATGATGCCAATGTAATATAAAGGATATGATTTACCATTGAGTAAATTGCAAACTAGCTAGAAATAGAATAAAGCAAACACACTGATTAGGCAAACAACAACGTAAAGCAGAATAAGGACTAGATATTTTTAAGAAATGGCCCCTGGCTAGGTTCTTATTGATAATGGAAATTTTTAGGTCTCTCTACTAGCTGAAATTTGTAATGTCTGTCCTGATCTACATAGTATTGATAAAATTAAGCAGGCTTAACATGTGGGCCTTACAACCAAAGTGTATATGCAGGGTTTAAGCAACCACAAAGAAAGACTTTGGTTCTGGTTTTCTCATCTCTCCCTTGTCCATATCACCTCCACTTTTTGATCCTAGGCCAAAGAGAACTCCCTAAGGTCAGGGCTTTTGGTCACGTGAGTCCGACAGATAGAGAAACAGTGAATAGGGAGAGGATTAGTTCTTCTGAGACTGATGCGAGGTATCTACTTTATGGGCTTACAAGTTGATTTAAATGTGAACAGGTCTCCCTTAGAGAGTCAGAGGCTTCTGTTATCCTTCTATATAGGAGCTTCCCATCAGCTTGCATGGACACTTTGTTTGAGTGATCGTTTCTTGATGTTAGGGGATGCAGCATATATAAATTTACAAATTTTCTATGTTTTAACCTTATCCAAGTTTTTCTATGGAAACTATCTATTACACATTTATTCACTATTAGACAACAGAATTCTGTTGTATCTGGACAGAATAGAACTTCTGAACCCAGTGCTCAGACAAGACATAAGATAGTTAATAGCTCACTTTTATTATTACTAGCCAGTTAATGCTTGCAATTAAAAGTTTATGGGTTTCAGTTTTTAGGAAAGTCTTATATAGAAGGAATATTTATTCAAAAACAATAGTGAGGTGTATCTTTAAAAATGAACTTTTGGAAAAGGTCTTAGTACTTCACAGGTGAAGTGATGCAAAGCCTGGAGTCAGCAGATATAATCTTAGTTCTGCACAGTAGCTCATCTTCACCTCAATAGCCTGAGTGACATAATAGGTAAGTAATTTAAAATTATAGAGTGCCATAAAATTTAGAACATAGAAATGATTGTTGGTTATTAATAGTAATGTGTTTTTGTTCAGACAAGGCTATTTAGAGCAAAATATAGTAGTAAGATGTAGGAAAGTTTCACTGTGGACCTGGGTCCTGAGGTAGGCTAAAAAAGAGAATAAGACTTGGATAAGCCACAGAGAATGGAAAGATATTAAAGATTGAGGAAGCAGAATGATCATAGCCTCTTAGGCTGAACTGAGCAGATTGTCTTTGGGGGACAGTGAGATGAATGGACAGCTGGCATTAAAAGTGTGTTGAAAGAAGTGAGAAAAATATGCCACACCTCTGATTAAAGAGACCTTTTCCCTAAAGAGGTTGTAAAGATACATTAGATTGCTATGACCAAAAATAAAAGAGGGAACTGATGAAGTATACATTAAATTGTTCCCCATGTCAAATATCAGTCAAAATTTTTAAAGTTCTTTCTACAGGTTAGGGAGGCCACTTTCATTTATTGCCACATGTAGCACTTTTTAACAACCACAGAATGTAAGGCATATTATTTTCTCAGTTTTACATGTAGACCAAAGCTGAAAAAAATGTTAGTTAACTTGCTAAAGGTCACAAAAATGGGGAGAAATAGAACTGGTAATTGAACTCAGGCATTTTTAGCTTGAGTACAGATTCTTAATCATAAAGCTACACTGCTTCTCTCAGCTAAAAGACTAAATGATAGTATATATGAATAATGAATAATTAGCACCCTAGAACTCACACTGATGTAATCATTCTTAGAATAAAATATTTCAAATGCATAAGCAAGAATATAGAGTATTTTAATAATTACTCTTACACCCAGGCTTTAGAAAATTTAATCCTGTATTACATTTGTTTTAGATCATTTCAAAACTAAAGAAAATATTATAGGTATAGTTAAAGCCTTCTGGAATTTCTTATATAAATTAATATAATTAATTATATAAATGGCATGCTAAACTTAAAATATTTTTGAGGAGTGTACATGATTTTCCCTATAGTGCTTGTTTATTCATTTTAATTTCTGTAGGGTCTTCTATTTTATGGATAGACCAAAATTTTCCTAATCACTTACCCATGATAAATAAGTTGATTCTAATTTTTCTGTATTACACACAATGCTGTCATGCATACAAGGGACACTGACAACAACTTTTTTTTACTGTCAGCATGTGCAAGATTTTCACAGACATATAGATCAAGAGGTGGAATCCCTGGATCCTAGAATATGAGTATCTTCAGCTTTATTAAATGTTGCCAGATTACTCTCCAATGTGAGAGGATCTATATACATTCTTACCAGCAGTGTTTGAGGGTTTCTATTTCTCCATATCTTAGCCAACTCTTCCTACTTTTAGACTTCTATTTTTTTAACCCAATGGGTATTATATTATTATTATATTATTCTATTTTCATTTACCCAACAAGTTATGAGATAGAGAAACTTTCATATATTTGTTGGGAGAAAATTCTACATGGGTCAAAGATCCTCATGTTTTGAATATCCTGCAAGCAAGGCTGTGATGTCTTTGCTTGGGACTATCCTTTAAAAGATGTTTGTAAAGATCAGTCTTAGAAGACAGACACCATTTCCCTGTGGAGCAAAGGGCAGACAGACTTACTACCCATTATAAAGAATTTTGACTCCCAAAACTCAGGGTTCCTCTCCTGTAATGCAATCCATTGTATATTCAAGTGTTATCTGGCAGTCTTTGCATTGCCTTGTTAATATCTGAGCTCAGGGAACCAGCACAAAAAATGTTGACACTCTGGCACTTAAACCATTTTCCAAACTGTCTTTTTGTTCTTTCCATTGTGGTCCAACACAAAGGATACAGAATCCTAGGACGATAAAGGGAAGCCTTTATTTAATTAAGGTTTTGGTTAACTAAGAGTGAAAAGGTACATTGAAAGCAAGAAATGCAATATATCAATATAGCAGCCTTACGTGGCCACTCAAAAAGAATAACAGGAGGTAGAGGCTTATCACCAACTGTATTCATCTGTTGCTCCCAATGCCCAGGTGTGCCAGACCCATTGCACAGACCGATGGCACTTGTTATGTCATCTCAGATGTGACCAAAGGACCAAGACCAATTCATGGCCATGTGACAAGGTCTCCAGTATATGTTTTCAGTACTCCCCGGGGACATCTGAATTCCCTTGTGGTTTGTGACTAGTGAGTAGTTGAGTGTTTAGCATGACTGCCTCTCCTCTCTAATGTCAAAAAACATTTACTGTATAGATGACGTTGTGTTGGCTGGTAAGTAAGAGGGCTCAGCCTAAATGCCCCAGACTATATAGTATTATCACACTTCTGCCAGCGTGATGAAGCCTGAGAAAATTCAGGGATCTTCTTGCCAAGTCGTTTATGGAGACAGTCTGGGTAGATTCAAAATGCTCAATTTCTTTAACGTTCAAGAAAAACTGCAGTCTTTTCAGGTCTTTGAAAGAAGACTCTTCCAAAAGAAAGCCCTGCACTTTATTGAACAATTTGGATATTGGAAATAGTATATACCTCATTTAGATATTCTACTTGGTATTTTATATCAACTAACACACAGATCAGCATCCTTTAAGTGGGGCCCAAACTACAGGTTGTATTGGAAGATGTCCTGTGAATTGTTTCATGGTCTCTATATTGGGAGCTCCCACAACTGCAATGGCTCCTTTGAACTACAAGTTACTGGGACTGATGATTTTGCTGATTAAAATCTTGGGTAAAAAAGAGGCAGATTTCAAATAGAGGCACATCTTGGGGTTTGAAATCTTTATCTCCCTGACATGGCCTTCAGGTTCACCCTTTCTGAAAAGCAATTATTAGCTTTCTGCTAGGCTCTTATTGAAACTGAATGCCTGGCTATGGAGGCCTGGCAACTCTCTGGCCTCATGTTACCATATTTGGGGTGGATCAACGCAAACTCATCAAATAAGAATGTGGCAAGGGCCCAGGAAACCTAGCTTGTCAAATGGGAATGATATAATCAAGAGCACAGCTAGATGACATTGGAACCATCTTGGCTTTACATGAAAGTGACAGAGATAGCTGTGGAGGAAACTTTATTCCCCGTTCAACCATTTCAACCAAATTCACTGTCTGGGTGGAGTCATCAGTTGACAGGTTTTTTGATAAATACTTGAGCCTGATTCACTGGTGTTTCAGCTAAGCTGCAACTCAATATTGTCCACTGGGCTGCTGTGGCTGTTCCTGTCCAATCTCAGTGGCTGCTAAAAGTGAATGTAGTTGTTCCACTAAGCGGGTAGAACTCAGGGTGATTCTTATCACACTGGCCCACATTACCCTGAGAAGCCTTGTTACATATTTACGGATTCATCAGCTGCCTTCAGTGGACTAGTTATTTGGTCTTCTTTCCCTCTTTGTTGTCATGTGTTTGTACATCTTTCAGTGAGACAGTGACTATCCTTTTCTCCCAGACTATATTTTCATGGATGTTTATATAGCAAACATCTTTGGAAGGCAGAGATATTGTCTTCCTCTGGAACAAAGTTCACATTTTCTACTTGTACTACTATTTCACATTCACTACTTCTACTGCATACTATATATGCAAGTATAATAACAGTCATATCTCCCTCCAGAGCCATGAGTTAGCCTGCTTTGCAACCCTTAGATAAGTTTCAGGTTCCCTAAGCTAGGGTTTCATTCCTTATACCTCACGGCATACACAGGTATTATTTGACTGTCTTTATATGTTCTGTGGGAATTGGTCACTCAAGAAACCGGTGCAAGAAAATAATGATGCTTTGGCTACCACTATTGCTATGAGCAATGAACTGTCCCTTGTCTCTGACTCAGGAGTCTCATGTCTTTTGCCAACATTTATGAAACTCTGGCAGGCTAACTAATTAGCTTGTTAATAGGGTAAGAGCTCAGATACTTGAGAGTTCATGACAATTATGTTTTTTCATTTTTTAAAATTTCTTTTCATGTCAATTTTGTTGATTAAAATTTTCTAGAAAATAATAAAGTTGACTTACAATTTCAATTTTTACATAAAATATTTCATAGTATTAGTCTCATATTTAATCACTACTGCATGTGTAATTATTTTCTTTTATGTTTTTAATATTAGTTATTTATGACATTTAAATTCATTAATCTGTCAGAGGTAAGTTGATTTCATTTTATTTTTTGACAGCACTAGCATTTGTTCTTGTGGATTCTTTGTTTTTCTTTTCTATTTTGTTACTATATCTTTCTAGTTTTCTTTTTTCTACTTTCTTTAAATATATTTTCTGGTGTTTTGAGATGTATATTTAACTCTATCTTCAGTGGTTTTTATTTAGTAAAAATTGCCTTTGACGGTATAAATTCACCTCTAAAAACTGTATGAAATGCATTTTATAAATTTTAATAGACAGTACTTTCAATGTCTTTTGGTTCCAAATAGTTTTGTTTTCTCTTGTGATTTTACCTTAACCTGATAACGACTTAGAAAGTCATTTTTAAGCTTCCAAATACTGTATATACTATTAGTATTTCCTTAAGACTTATTGGGAGTTTATGAATTAATTTCATGATCATATTTTGAAAACATTCCAGTACTTAGAAAACATGTATATATCTTGTATTTTTGGGATACTGTGTTCTATAATTATCTGTTTGATCACGCATGTTAATTTTGTTGTGTAAAGTTACTATAACCTTAGTCATTTTGTGTGCTTGAGTTATCTTCTGAAATAAGTTAAAATAATCCACTATGATTATGGGCTTATAAATTTCTCCTGATAATTCTAAAAATTTTTGCAACCTATATTTTGAAGATACATTGTTTACTATGTGTAAGTTTAAATCTCTTCTTAATGGTTTGTTCCCATCATTATTATGTGGTATCTCTATTTATCTGTATTAATTCTTTCTGCCTTAAATTCAATTTTCTGGGATGTTGGTTTTGCTGTAACAGCTTTCTTTTTTTAAATATAGATGATTCCATTTGTTCATTTTCATTCCTTTAGTTTTGGATGGTCTTTAGTAAGCTAAATTGCATCTCCCAAACCATTTGATAGTCCTTGCCTCTTAATAAATAAATTTAAGTGATTTTTATTTTTTGTAATTACTTATATATTGAGATTTATTTCAACCATCTTGCTCATGTTTTCTATTTACCATGCTTCTTCTTTGCTTTTTGCCACTTATTTCCTGCTAAATGTTTGATTTATATCATTTTATTCGTTTCTTTCCTTCATGGTGATATGAAAAAAATACATGGTACTTCTAGGCATAGTGGTTGTCTTTAAAGTTTTAATATATATACTTATATAATTCTTTCCAACAAATTTTAAAGTTTTATAGTATTTTTAGCCTCCTTGGACCTCAGTCATGATCTTAAAAAACTTTAAAAAATAAATATCCTACCACTTAAAAAATAAAAATAAAAAATAAAATTTATATTTCATCAGTCTTTTTAAGAGACAAAATGATGTATTGTCTGAGCAATCAATGCCTTTGTTTACTACATTCTATCAACTGGGTTCATTTTTCTTTTTGGTGAAGTTCATTCTTTAAAACTTATTTTAGTTGGGGGGCTGTGTGTGGTGAGCAGTTTGGTCTTTGATATCTAAATACGTCTTTAATTTTCTCTCACTCTCGAGAGTTTAGCATTGTCTAAAATTTTTGGTTGATTTTGTTTTTCTTTAGTATTTTGAATAATTTTCCATTGCAGTATTAGTTAAGGTGAAGGTTAAGCCAATGTTACAATGAGACCTATCAAATACATGGTTTTAAAGACGAAAAGAGCTCTCCAGGAGCCACTGGCTTAGGCAGTATTTGGAAGTGGGTTTTTGGCTCCTAGTTCTCTTTCTTGAATAATGGGGATTCCATTAATGCCTCTGGCTTTACCCATGTTGGTCTGTACCAATTATGGGAATAGAACTTTTGGAAAACCCTGCTTGTTTTTGAATTCTATAACTCTGCAGGTTACATGTCCTGTCTCATTGTGTTTCTGCTCTATGTTTTTATCACAGAGATGTTTGATAATTGATCTCACACAGATAATTGATCTCAGTTATGTCTTTCAATTTTCCCTTTTCTAGTTTACCCATCATTGCTATGTAATTATAGAACAGGGGACTATCAAAGCAAAAACTTACTCTATTATCTTGATCAGCACCTACCCTACTTACACTTTTTATACGACAGGGGTGTGCTTAAAATAACGATAGTCAATTTTGAAGACAAAGGGAAGGAAATTACAAAAGGGGAGTCTGGGAGGCTTTGTGACTATTAAATGAAATTAAATTCCATAAACATGTCTAGCACAGCAGCTAAAATAGAGAAGGAATTTTTAACTTTCTTATTCTCTTACCCCTCATCTCCTCACTTCTACCTTTCCTCCAACAGGTTGCAATGGAATGAGGTACAGGGAGGAAAGCAGGAGACGTGGCTAATTGGAAACGTATTAATCCTAAGATTCTGAGCATCAGTGTCCTTAGTCCAGTGTCTGACTTTCTGTATTACTTACTACCTATCTGTTTGTATCCCAGCTGTGAATCCAGAACAGACTTGGTGGGAGGGATATCCTAGAAAATAATTTTGTAAGCGAGGTTTCCAAGGCCGTAAGAAGCCTAATTGACACATAAATTCATCAGGAGGATAACAGAGGCAATGATTTGGAGAAATGGATACATGCACAGATCAAAACACAAATCAATAGCTTAAATATAGACTGAGATGCTGAAACAAGGACCAGTAAAGTTTATGTTGAGGAATTTACATAGGACTGTAATTCCTGACTTGGTTTCTTATCTAGGACCCAATGAAATTCCCACATTCTTCTGCTTCCTTGCTATGTTCCCTAAGAAATGGGCCTACTTTTTAAAAATCCTCTTAATTTATACTATCATCTACTTTTCACCTTGGTAAGACCTCTTTCTATAAGCTTAGCTACAGAATAGTACCTAGGCTGCAAAACAAAGATTTCTTTTTGTAATCAAAACAAAGGTCATGTGTTTTGATTTCTAAGGGACTTTGTTACAAACTATTCTAGGGAAACAAATGGAATAAGGAAAATAATAAACATGAGGGAATTCTTTAAAAATCTTGTAGAATAACTCTTGATATTTACTTCCTCATTCACTTTTGTTTGTAAATCATAGCACAATAGTGGAAAGAGCCCAGGTTTTTGAGACAGAAAGGCCTGGGCTCAACCTGGCTCCTCACTTATTACCTCTGTCACCTTGCCCAAAGTCTGTAAGCCTCAGTATTTTGACTATTAATTATTATTAAACCTATTAAAATCTATTAAATGGTAATAAAATACTTATTTCATGAGGTTGTTGTGAGGACTAAAGAAAATAACATATACATTAACAGTTATAAATTTTCCCTTTTATTTCTGATGTTAACCCTTTCCTCCACACTTGTCAATCTCATTTTATCTCAGCAAAATTTAGGTGGATTTTTTTTCCCCTAAAATGGCATTCATACTTGAAGAGTGAATCTAGGTCAAATTGTAAGTGTTCCCTTTGTTTCTGAGAACCTGTAGACGGGGTTACTTCTATATTTACATGGTCTTTATAAAGACCTGCTATGAAGACCTGTACATTTCTTTGTTGACAAGATGTACCAAAGGAATGAGAACGTGTGTGCAAAATGTGCCTCACGGGAGCTGATCCTTGAACATTGGTATATATTAAGGTGACCTTTTCATCCAATGTCAGTATTACAGGGCAGTATAGGTGTGGCTTCTTAAATGTATCATGTTTTTAAAAGCCCTTCTTTAAAGAGCTTAATGTAGGAAAAGGAGCCTTTGAAATTACAGGCAGCAAGGCACTTAACGTTTATTCACTGTACTCCAGGGGCAATTCATCTCCAGGAGAATTTCTAAAGCTCATAATTCTAAGAATTGGTATATTTCTATTGAACGTGACCTTGATAGCTTGATCTCAACCCCACACTATGAGTTTGTGAGGAATGAATGGAACTAAAGCAATGAAGACTTGAGTTTCTCCATCAAACATTTGTTGCACTTCTAACTAGCCTGAGTCCAGGGGAGCTGAATAGCTCTCTTTCTATGCTTTGTGTTATTATGTATAATGTATGTTTCAACTGCAATGCTACCTCCTTGACTGACCTTGAAACTTAGCAAAAAAGTTTTATAAGCTCATCTCATCATTTCAAAACTCCGTTGCTTAAAAATTACTCAACTGCTTTACTAAGAGTTGGCTTGATTTTCTTTACTCACTGAGATCTGAAGAACTGCCAAGTTGAAATTTTATAGCTTTAGAAGTTATTTTATATATATGTATGAAATGATATATGTATATAAAAGACATATTACAAATAAAATATACATATTTATATATAAAAACATACATATATTATATAGAGTATATAAAAATATACATATATATAAAATAACTTCTAAAGCTATAAAATTTAGTTGTGTGTATAGCCATATAATTTTTAATATATATAAAATAATATATATATATACACTCACACAAATACATATATATGGCAAGCTGGCAAAAAAGTTGGTGTTCTTTCCTGAGCTCATACTTATTTCATAGTCAGTTAAATAGCTTCCAAACTATAGATAAACATAGGTTAACTACACCAAACTGTGATAATCACATTAGCCAATATTTGGAAAAAACAAATCTGAGCATCAAGCTGTTTAGCTTTAACTATTATCATCAATTTTCCATATCACATAATTATGGGGGGGAGCATTAGTAAATAAGAAAATAATTGGATTCCATCTTACAATGTGACCTCAGAAAGATATTGAGAATACACATTTTATACACTAACATATGTGTGTTTATAAACAACTTTATAATATTAAAGTGATTTGCTTTCTTTTATACTTTTTCATGAATGTTACTAGTGGTGTGCTAGTAAATGTTTAATATCTGGCTCTCAGGGTGGAGAAAATTCTGATTTGTAGCATATGACAATTTTGCTCCGCTATGGCTGATGTTAACCAGCATGCAAAAGTTCTTAAAATTTAACAATCGTCTCTCAGAAGCTAAACACATCACTAAAGTATTTGGTTTACTTCTGTGAGGTGATAAAAGTTTATGAAGACATCTTATTTGATAATGTTTTTAATAACTATATGTGTGTATATAAAAATAAATTTGAAGTATTGAGTTTTATATTTTAATGTATGTTTTTATTATATTTTATATTTATATTTAATATTCATATATTCATTTAGATGCCTAAAACCCAAAGTCTAAATTGTATCTCAATATATCATTATCTTATTTTTTCATTGCTAAATAGTGACAAAGAGAATATGTTTGTCATGTTTTTTTTCCTTGTAATGGACTCTTTTATTCTGGAAATGATTTTAGCATGCCGATCAATTTTTTTTTAAACTTAAGATACTTAATTTTTAAAATTTGATAGCTTCCCTACAAGTCTGTGATTCCAAATATTAGGGAAGAAAAGAGGCTTCGTCCTGTCTTCTGAGAGCTATCGAGGTTTGAAATGCCACGGCTTCTGAAACTAACCTAGCTGTTGGAAGGCTAGCTAAGGGATTCTCTAAGGACTCTGGTATTTTAAAGGAACAAATGAACCATTATTTTTGGGGCATGTTGATGGTTGGTCTGTACCTCTCAAATTTCTGCCTCAGTATTGAAAACACCAGCAAGACTGGAATCTTTTGGTTAATGGATGATTGCTGATGTTGCTTTGTTGTCATTCCTTAGTACTTACCCAAGCCATGGTCCCTTACTAAACAACTCTAGGCTGTTTCCTTTTATTTCTTGAACCAATAAAATTTGCTTCAGCAATGAAGAGCCTTACTTGTTTTAATTAGTGGGATACGGAAGGGTCAGGTGTCATCCATATCTTTGGCATGGTTGCCTAGTTCTTTGTTTAGTCTATCAGGTCACAAACCCCTGAATATCATGAAAGCCTGGGTGGCCCACTTTCATGAGCTCTTCTAGAATTTGGAAATTTCCTGATTGTACCATGCTCCTGTAAACCAAAAAGTGACTGAAGCAGGTATCAATCAATTCGAGGTGTATTCTGCCAAGGTTGTAGAAACATTGAGGAAAAAGAAATACACATCACAGGAGGATCTGTGAGTTGTGCTTTCTCCAAAGAGACTTTTGGGAACTTCAATATTTAAAAATGAAAAAGAGCAAGCAGGAGGGGAAGAAGAAAAAGAAGTGAGGGTAGGCAAGGAGGCAAGTGGTTGCATTCTTGAGAGGCTCTGATTCGTGCTCAGTAAATCTACATTTTACATGTGAAAAGACAAAGTAGAGGAAAAAGTCATATTGCACACAGTACCTCCACATTTTACATAAGATAAAGTAAACGTGTGAAATTATAGCTATCTGTTTGGGGACAAAGGTAAGCAGTTTTTGCGACATTTTGTTCCCAAGCTAACTTTCCCTTTGGCATAGTGCATTTGGAGTGCGGAGATTCCATTTTCTTTCTCTATTATCTAGGCCCTTGGATATTCTGTTTCTTTTCTCTGAAAACAGTTATCCCTTTTCCTTGACTGGCTAACTTTAATTATCTTTTAATTCTCAGCTTAGGCATCTAAAAATGTTCTAGGTTAGGCTAACTCTGTAATTCCAAGTAAGATGCGCCTACTGTGTACCCTCATTATTTCATGCGTCTGCTGATACTGTTATTCCCTATGTCTGTCTCTTTCAACTAGTCTCACCTGTGTTGCAGCAGGAACTGTGTCAGTCTTAGTTTTGTTGTTCATCAATATCTTCCATGTGCCTGGCACACAGTAAGTTTTCTAAGAAAAGTTTGTTTAATAAATGAGTGGAGGACTTGGTCATTCCCTGGAAAGAGATGTGGTTTTCTTGACCTGCAATGAAAGCTAGTTTCCTTATAAATCTTATTTCCTTTTAGTGTGTGATACCTTTGCTGGGAGAAAAGTCCTTATAGGTAGACTGTGGTTAATTAAGAGCTTATAGATACATCCTAATTTTTCAGCAGAGCCTATTCCAACAGTCAACTAACTCAATTGCTTCCAGTTGAGATCTGGTGACTTTATAACATTGGTTTGGATAGGAAGGAACCATACAGATGGTTCCCAACTTATCAGTGGGTTATTCTTACAATTTTTTGGCTTTACAGTGGAGTGAGAGCAATAAGCATGCAATAGGAACTGTATACCCATGCACTCATTCTGTTTTTCACTTTAAGTATGGTATTCAATAAATTATAAGATTCAACACTTTATTATAAAATAGAGTTTGTGTTTGATGATTTTGCCCAACTGCAGGCTAATGTAAGTGTACATTCAAGGTAGGCTAGCCTAACTACGATGTTTGGTAGATTCAGTGTATTAAAAACATTTTCAACTTAACAATATTTTATACTTATAATGGTTTATCAGGATGCCCATTATAGGTTGAGGAGCGTGTATTAATATACATGGTGAGGTCAGGGAGAAGCAAAATATGTAGCTTTAATGAGTCAATATGTACGAAAAAGAAACTCAAACAGACTCAACTTGATGGCATTTCTGAGATAATGTTACTTAGAATGTATTTTACAATTTAAAATGTGTTTGGTAACACAGTGTTGCAATTTTAGTAGTCAAATTGCTTTAGAAAAAAAGTCAAAATCAATCATAAGGTGGTCTAACTGGTTAAAAAGTTACTGATCTAGAGAGTCTCAAATTCTTTGGAATGGGTAGTTTTAAATATAATAACATTCAGTATCTTCATATTGCCTTTTTTTTTTCTAACTAGACATTGCATTGTCTGGCTAAAATTGTTACATGTGATAGCCTATGTGGTTATGTTGCCAAACTCTTTTGAAAATATTGTAGAAATAGAAAATTACACATGCACACAAACACACATACATCCATACATATGGGCATGTAAATGAAATTTGTTTTTATTCAATCATTGTAAGAAAGTTTAAGTACATCAAAAGCTACAAACCTCAGTTAATTGTTGATGAAGAGTCTTGGAAGATTAGAAATCTGTGTAATAGGTGCTTTACAAAGACAAGACATGTTTAAGGTGCCACATCTTAATATCTAATGCAACTAATGTCATTTGTATATTTCCTAGTGTTTTTTTCTACTAAGTATGCTTTTATGCTTTTTTGTCATTATAAACAAGATACATGTTTTTATGCTATATTTTTCATATAATCATTCATGTAAACAAACTGGAGTACTGGCAAATTCTTTAGGTCCTCAGACTGTAGTTTTTAATTTATGATAGTCTTAGGAGTAAAATTTGAGAATTGAGGTCTGTTTGGATGTACAAAGATCTTGTTTGCCTTGAGCAATTTTATGGGGCTGTGGAAATTGAAAAGAAATGGATAACTGGAAAATAAAACACACAGCAACTACTTACATGTTTTGCAACAAAGGAAGGTGGCAGGGAAAGTTTTAAATCCCCAAAAGACTCATTTAGCTTTAAATAAAACACCGATTTCTATTTCTTTCTCAAATTTAAATTAAAGCAGGTATTTAAAATTATCTGTATTATCTGTATCTTGTTACAAAAATAATTCTGCATTTAGAAAACTACCCTTAGGTGGTTGTTATATTTCTCCATTTCAGATTGTATACTTTTATAAGGTGCAGTAATAACATTTACAATTTTTTTAATTCCTAAGAATTCAAAATCCTTACTTAGAATAGAATTATAATACTTTATTTGACTGTGATATGTGCTACTTGTGATGGTCTGAGCGTTAGAAAAGCACACAGACACTCATACACAAACAAGAACAAAAATTTAGCACAGCAGGGCCAAGATGACCAACTAGAAGCAGCCAAGATCGGAGGCTCCCATTGAAAAGAACCATAATAGTGTATTCCTGTATCAGCATCCAAGGCATCCAGGTCCTCTTATCAGAACTGACTAGGCAGCTGGCGTGATCTAAGGACAGGAAGGAAGAGCTGTGTGGTACAGCGATCTACCTGAGAGCCACACCGGGCAGGGGAGCCCCCACTCCCAAGTCAAGGAAGGCGGTGAGTGAGTGTGCTACCCAGCCAGGGAAACCGTCCTGTTTCCATGGAACTGTGCAACCCACGATCAGAAAATCCCACTCATGAACCCATGCCGCTGAGGCCTAGGGTCCCAACACTGGAGCTGCACAGATTCTCAACAGCCTCTCCGCTAGAATCTGCTTAAGCCTGTCATGTTCCCAGGGGGAGGGGCAACCAGCAGCACAGCTGTGGCTGCCTGCCATCTAAGCCCTTTGAGCTCCTTGCGGGAGGGGCAGCAGCCAGCACTGGGACTGATAACTGCACAATATGCTAAGTTCCCTGGGCAGGGGAAGGACGGCAGCCATCTCTATACCTCCAGGCCGTGCTTTCCCCTTGCTGGAGCCAGAGGAGGCAGGTCAGCTTGGTCTCAAGAGGTGTCCCCCGCAGCCCAGCACGCTAGCTGTGGCACACCGTGGCCAGAGCACCTCTTCATGCCTGACCCTAACTCATCCTTTCCCATTGGGTAG
Organism: Homo sapiens; assembly: GCF_000001405.40. Classification (NCBI taxonomy): domain Eukaryota; kingdom Metazoa; phylum Chordata; class Mammalia; order Primates; family Hominidae; genus Homo; species Homo sapiens. Next base: position 113,331,887 of record NC_000007.14, read on the forward strand.
GGCCTCCCTGCAGGAACTCCAACAACTCCAGCAAGGGCCTCAGGGACAGAACCCTGATCTCCCTGTGCCTGAGCCCCCAGTGGGAGGGGTGGCCACAGTCTCTGTGGACCAGCAGATTTAGCCTTTCCTCCTGGTAGTTCTGAGAAATCCAGGAAACACAGACGAGCGGGTTTCCCCCCGGCAAAGCACACCCCCTGCACCAAGGGACAGTCAAAGTGCTTCGTTAAGTGGGTCCTGTTCCCCATGCCAGCCAACTGGGTGAGACCCTCCAACAGGGGTTGTCAGACACCCTATACAGGAGCGATTCTACTGGCATCAGTTTGGTGTCCCTTGAGGTCAGAGATCCCAGAAGAAGGAGAAGGCACCCATCTTTGCTGTTCTCTAGTCTCCTTGAGTGACATCTCCAGGCACGGGAAATACAGAGAACACCACTAAGATGCTCCATGAGAAGACTGACCCAAGACACATACTCATCAGATTCTCCAAGGTTGAAATAAGGAAAAAATGTTAAGGACAGCCAGAGAGAAAGGCTAGGTCACCTGCAAAGGAAAGCCCATCAGACTAACAGCAGACATCTCAGCAGAAACCCTACAAGCCAGAAGAGATTAGGGGACAATATTCAACATTCTTAAAGAAAAGAATTTTCAACTGAGAATTTCATATTCAGCCAAATTAAGCTTCGTGAGAGAAGAGAAATAAAATCCTTTTCAGACAAGCAAATTCTGAGGGATTTTGTCACCACCAGGCCTGCCTTGCAAGAGTTCCTAAAGGAAGCACTAAGTATGGAAAGGAAAAACCTATACCAGCCACTGCAAAAACACCAAAATATAAAGACCAATGACACTATGAAGAAACTGCATCAAATAGTGTGCAAAATGACCAGATAGCATCATGATGACAGGATGAAATTCACACATAACGATATTAACTTTAAATGTAAATGGGCTAAATGTCCCAATTAAAAGACACAGACTGATACATTGGATAAAGAGTGAAGACCCATTGGTGTGCTGTATTCAGGAGACCCATCTCACATGCAAAGACACACATAGGCTCAAAATAAAGGGATGGCAGAAAATTTACCAAGGAAATGGAAAGCAAAAAAAAAAGCAATCCTAGTTTCTGGCAAAACAGATTTTAAACCAACAAAGATAAAAAAAGACAAGGGCATTACATAATGGTAAAGGGATCCATGCAACAAGAAGAGCTAACTATCCTAAATATGTATGCACCCAATACAGGAGCACCCAGATTCATAAAACAAGTTCTTAAAGACCTACAAAGAGACTTAGACTCCCACACAATAATACAGGCAGACTTTAACATCCCACTGTCAATATTGGACAGATCAACATGACAGAAAATTGACAGATATTCAGGACTTGTACTCAGCTCTGGATCAAGTGGACCTAATAGACAGACCCAAATCAACAGAATATACATTCTTCTCAGTGCCACATGGCACTTATTCTAAAATCAACCACATAATGGGAAGTAAAACACTCCTCAGCAAATGCAGAAGAATGGAATTAATAACAAACAGTCTCTCAGACCACAGTGTAATCAAATTAGAACTCAGGAATAAGAAACTCACTCAAAACCACATGATTACACGGAAATTGAACAACCTGCTCTTTAATGACTCCTGGGTAAATAATGAAATTAAGACATAAATAAATAAGTTCTTTGAAACCAATGAGAACAAAGAGACAACTTACCAGAATCTCTGGGACAGAGCTAAAGCAGTGATAAGGGGGAAATTTATAGCAATAAATGCCCACATCAGAAAGCTAGGAAGATCTAAAATTGACACCTTAACATCACAATTAAAAGAGCTAGAGAGGCAAGAGCAAACTAATCCAAAAGCTAGCAGGAGTCAAGAAATAACTAAGATCAGAGTAGAATTGAAGGAGATAGAGACACTAAAAACCCTTCAAAAAAATCAATGAATCCAGGAGCTTGTATTTTTTAAAAATTAATAAACTAGATAGAATGCTAGTTAGACTAATAAAGAAGACAAAAAAGAAGAATCAAATAGACACAATAAAAAATAGTAAAAAGGATGTCACCACTGACCCCACAGAAATACAAACTACCATCAGAAAGTACTGTAAACACCTCTACGCAAATAGTCTAGAAAATGTAGAAGAAACGGATAAATTCCTTGACACTTACACCCTCCCAAGACTAAACCAGGAAGAAGTAGAATCCCTGAATAGACCAATAACAGGTTCTGAAATTGAGGCAGTAATTTATAGCCTATCAACCAAAAAACACCCAGGACCAGAGAGATTCACTGCCGAATTCTACCAGAGGTGCAAAAGGGAGCTGGGACCATTTCTTCTGAAGCTATTCCAAACAGTTGAAAGGAGGGACTCCTCTTTAACTCATTTTATGAATCCAGCATCATCCTGATACCAAAACCTAGAAGAGACAGCAAAAAAAGAAAACTTCAGACCAATATCCTTGATGAACATTGATGCAAAAACCTCAATAAGATACTGGCAAACCAAATCCAGCAGTACATCAAAAAACTTATCCACCATGATCAAGTTGTCTTCATCCCTGGGATGCAAGGCTAGTTCAACATACACAAATGAATAAACATAATCCATCACATAAACAGAGCCAATGACAAAAACTTCATGATTATCTCAATAGGTGCAGAAAAGACCTTTGATAAAATTCAACATCCCTTCATGTTAAAAATTCTCAATAAACTAGGTATTGATGGAACATATCTCAAAATAATGAGATATTTATGACAAACCCACAGCCAATATCATATTGAATGCGCAAAAGCTGGAAGCATTCCCTTTGAAAACTGGTACAAGACAAGGATACCCTCTCTCACCACTCCTATTCAACATAGTACTGGAAGTCTGGCAACCACAATCAGGCAAGAATAAAGTAATAAAGCATATTCAAATAGGAAGAGAGGAAGTTAAATTGTCTCTGTTTGCAGATGACATGATTGTGTATTTAGAAAACCCCATCATCAGGGAACATCACACACTGGGGCATGTCGTGGGGTTGGGGGATGGGAGAGGGATAGCATTAGGAGATATACCTAATGTAAATGACAAATTAATGGGTGCAGCACACCAACATGGCACATGTATACATATGTAACAACGTACATCTGCATGTTGTGCACATGTACCCTAGAACTTAAAGTATAATTTTTTAAAAAAGAATATTGCCATTATAATTGGAGTGAGATGATATATCATCATGGTTTGATTGGCATTTCCCTGATGATTAGTGATGTTGAGCATTTTTGCATATACTTTGACCAATTAAATATCTTATTTTGAGAGGTGTCTGTTCAGATCATTTTCCCATTTTTTAATCTGATTATTTGTTTTTTTGCTATTGGGTTGCTTGGGTTCCCTGAATGTTCTGAATGTTAGCCCTTGTCAAATACATGGTTTGTGAATGTTTTCTCCCATTCTGTGGGTTGTTTCTTTACTCTGTTGATTGTTTCCTTTGCTGTAATAAGCTTTTAAATTTGGATGTAACATCATTTGTCTATTTTGCTCTTGTTGCTTGTGTTTTTGAGGCCTCATCCAAAGAATTCTTGCCCAGACCAATGTCATGAAGCGTTCCCCTATGTTTTATTCTAGTAGTTTCATAGTTATTTCAGGTCTTCCATGTAAGTCTTTAATCCATATTGAGTTGATTTTTATAAGAGGTAAACTAAAATAGTGGTTTTCAGAGACTAGGGAGAAAAGCGGGGGTATGGGAGAGATTGGCCAATATACAAATTACAGTTAAATAGGAAGAACAAGTTCTGATGTTCTATTACACAATAGGGAATATAGTTAACAATAATATATATTTCAAAATAGCTAGAAGAGAGGATTATGAATATTCTTATCACAAAGAAATGACAAGAATTTGAGGATATGGATAAGCTAATTCCCCTGATTTGATCATTATATAATTTTTATATATATCAAAACATCTCACTGTACCTCATGAATATGCACAATTATGTGTCCACTAAAGGTAAAATAAAACTTAAACAAACAAATAAAAAAACAAAAAAGAAAACCCCATTATCTCAGCCCAAAAACTTCTTAAGCTGATAAGCAACTTCAGCGAAGTCTCAGGATACAAAATCAATGTGTAAAAATCACAAGCATTCTTTTACACCAGCAATATACAAACAGGGAGCCAAATCATGAATGAACTCCCATTCACAATTGCTACAAAGAGAATAAAATACCTAGGAATACAGCTAACAAGGGGCATGAAGGACCTCTTCAAGGAAAACTACAAACCACTGCTCAAGGAAATAAAAGAGGACACAAACAAAGGGAAAAACATTCTATCCTCATGGACAGGAAGAATCAATCATGAAAATGGCCATACTGCCCAAAGTAGTTTATAGATTAAATACTATTTGCATCAAACTACCATTGACATTCTTCACAGAATTAGAAAAAACTACTCTAAATTTCATACAGAATCAAAGAAGACCCCAAATAGCCAAGACAATTCTGAGCAAAAAGAACAAAGCTGGGGACATCATGCTACCTGACTTCACGGTATAGTACAGGGCTATAGTAACCAAAACAGCATGGTACTGGTACGAAAACAGACATGCAGACCAATGAAACAGAACAGTGACCTCAGAAATAACACCACACATCTACAACCATCTGATCTTTGACAAACCTGACAACAAACAATGGGGAAAGATCTCCTATTAAAAAAATGGGGCTGGGAAAACTGGCTAGCCATGTGCAGAAAAGTGAAACTGGACCCCTTCCTTTTACCTTATACAAAAATTAACTCAAGGTGGATGAAATATCAAACCCCAAACCATAAAAACCCTAGAGGAAAACCTAGGCAATAACATTCAGGACATAAGCATGGGCAAAAACTTCATGATAAAAATGTGAAAAGCAATTGCAACAAAGCTAAAATCAACAAACGGGATCTAATTAAACTAAGGAGCTTCTGCACAGCAAAAGAAACTGTCATCAGAGTGAACAGAAAACCTACAGAATGGGAAAAAATTTTTGCAATCTACCCACCTGACAAAGGTTTACTATCCAGAATCTACAAGGAACTTAAACAAATTTACAAGAAAAAAAACAAACCTATCAAAAAATGGGCAAAGGACATGAACAGACACCTCTCAAAAGAAGACATTTATGCAGCCAACAAACATATGAAAAAAGCTCAACATCACTGTTCATTAGAGAAATGCAAATCAAAACCACAATGAAATGCCATCTCATGCCAGTCAGAATCGCAATTATTAAAAGGTCAAGAAACAATAGATGCTGGTGTGGCTGTGGAGAAATAGGAAGACTTTGGCACTGTTGGTGGGAATGTAAATTAGTTCAACCATTGTGGAAGACAGTGTGGTGATTCCTCAAAGATCCAGAACCAGAAATACCAATTGATCCAGGAATCTCATTACTGGGTATGTACCCAAAGGATTATAAGTCATTCTACTGTAAAGACACATGCACAGGTATGTTTATTGCCACACTATTTGCAATAGCAAAGACATGGAACCAACCCAAATACCCATCAACGATAGGCTGGATAAAAAAATGTGGTATGTAATACACCATGGAATACCTTGCAGTCATAAACAGGAATGAGATCATGTCCTTTGCAGGGACATGGATGAAGCTGGAAGCCATCATCCTCAGCAAACTACCACAGGAACAGAAAACCAAACACCGCATGTTCTCACTAGTAAGTGGGAGTTGAATAATGAGAACACATGGACACGGGAGGGGAACAACACATGCCAGGGCCTATTGGGAGGTGGAAGGAGAGAGGAGGGAACTTAGAGGATGGATCAGTAGGTGCAGCAAACCACCAGGACACACATATACCTATGTAACAAACCAGCACGTTCTGCACATGTATCCTGGTACTTAAAGTAATTAAAAAAAGATTAGTAATGCTAGTATTGTTAATGAAGGGGTAATCTTTAGGACTAAATTTGATTGTTCTTTCCATTTGATCAGAATTAACTCTTGTTTTCCCTAGTATTTCTATAAGAAAATTAAGGTTATGTCTCCTTTGAGTTGTTTAAATTGTTAAATTAACATATAAAAAATCATGATTAGTTTTTCAATATTCTCAGGGATCCCTCTTGTCTTTTCCTGGTTAGTTGTTTATTTCATGAAGTTACTGTTATGTTCAGCTGATTAAAACTGTATAAAAATATCAGTGTAGCAATTTGGGTTCTCAGCAGGAATGGTAAAAAAGTTGTGCTATGCATTTGCCATCATTCACCCCTTCTGAGCTTCTGGCAGACAATGATAATTAGTTATGGAGCATTTTCCAACTGGGCTTGATATTGAGATGTTTCAGTTGGCACTTCAGTCAAAATATATTTGCTGGCTTGATGCGAACCACGAATTGGATTTCCAACCCTGGTTGGCTGCCTTGCTTGGGAGAGAAAGTATAGTCACGGTTAATACAAATGTATTGCCTCTACTAGAAAATAGATTCTGAGAGCTTGCTCTGCTGATATATAATCAGAACTGCAGCTGTGTATATAAAGGACAGGATGCTACTAATGACTCAAACTGAGAAGGCTTTATTGGAGCCAATATATATGCATGAATCCAATTTACAGAGGACTCAGCCAACCTTACCCCAGCTCTGGCAAAATATTATCAGGACAGCAGGGAGCGGGGACTCCCCCTTTTATCAAATGATTAACTTGAGATTTGAGGCAAGTTATTGAAGTAGAACAATAGAGAGAATCTGTATGGTGACTGAAGCCAGTGTGTGAAAATATTTTTTTTTCTCTCAGAAAAATTCAACTCTATACTTATGCCCGATGCCCTTGTTAATTAGTAGTATCTTATGCTAATGTCACTATGCTGTTTTGCTAACCACACCCAATAGACATTTTTAACTGAATTTACTTTTTTTTTTTTGAGACAGAGTCTTGCTCTATCACCCAGGTTGGAGTGCAATGGCATGATCTTAGCTCACTGCAAACTCCACCTCCTGGGCTCAAGCGATTCTCATGCCTCAGCCTCCCAAGTAGCTAGGATTACAGGTGCCTGCCACCATGCCTGGCTAATTTTTGTGTTTTTAGTAGAGAGGGGGTTTCGCCATGTTGGCCAGGCTGGTTTCGAACTCCCGACCTCAGGTGATCTGCCCGCCTCGGCCTCCCAAAGTTCTGGGATTACAGGTGTGAGCCACCGCTCCCGGCCTGCATTAACTTTTAGAAATAAAAGCTTAAAATCGATAGCTATCTGTGACTTACGCACCTTGTGGTCCTTACTGGTGAAGATTGTGCAATTTTACATGTTCTGACCAGATACTAGTACCCTCTGTATACTTAATCAATATTAAATAAAACATAAGGCTTGGAAAAGAAATGATATTAGCATATTTATGTCCACTGACTGTTGCCTTTGTGCTTTCCTTTTCATAAGCTTTAGGACACTCTCTTAGAGCAACTAACCAGGACAATTGCATTATCTATAATCATTAGTTTCTCCCTGATTCACTGCTTATAATTGACATCACTACATTTACTTAAATTAATTTTGAAAAAAGATGTAGTGATTGAATATAGCCAGTTAAGTGAACCAGCCAGAATGAACAGTGATTAGTAATGAAAAAAGATAATTATATGCATTGTGATAATTACTGCAATGCTTTCCTATCAAATGACCCTTTTAATTTCTTCCATAAAATAAACTTTTTCTGTTGTTTTTCACTTTTCAATGCCATTACCAATGTCATGGATGGGGCTTAAGGCTATGCTGAAGAGCTATTGTGATATCAGAACATAGCATTCTTCTCAGGTCACCTATGAAAAAGGAACCTGTCTTAATTATTCAAATCAATTTTCTGCTTCTGATCTTGAGTCCATCTGACAGTTGGGCTACTATGTTAGGCGCTATAACATTCACATCATTTTCACCTCTTTTGTTTACTTCTCACAATGTTTCTGTAAGGTTCAGTAACTGGGATTATGTGGTTTTTGTTGGCATTTTCCTTTGGTTGTTCTGGCTATGTGCCTCAAAATCAAAATAACCTATTAGTCAAATGAAAAAAATAGTTGAAAGTTGAAGACTGGTCCTGAAGTACAAAGACATGAGTTTACCTCTGGATTCTTCCAATTACTGAATGTGTGACTTTTGTTTAGGATCTTGGGGCCTCAGTTTCTTTAAGTTTAGTAATACTCATTTAAGAAGGCAGTTATGAGAATCTGTTGAAATCACATAGGCGAAAATGCTGTGTAAACAAAAAGAATTATCTTTAGCAGCTTGGTTGACTCCTGTATTTCACATGCAAATGCACTTTTTGAGGTAAATCGAGAGAATTCCCAATAATTGATTTGTAATTTGCTCAGGGTTGCAAACAGTTTCTGTAATGGTGATATACCAATTTAAGATTTTAGATTTTTTCCCTTTCTCTAGAAGTTCATTTCCATGTTAGTTTCATATTTAGTCCAAATGTCCTGATTATCTCTGCATTTCCTTCTAATAGGGACTAAGGACAAAAAAGGAGCCATTCTATAAGGGTAAATACAGAAGAATATTTATGGCTAAGCTTTTCCTAACTTATACTCTCAAATTCTGTTGTTTGACCAAAGTAATATATTTCAACTGGGATGCTCTTTGCTTAACTGGTAACTTAGAGGCATAGAATTGTAGAATGTCAATCAAGAAAAGAACCTTAAAGATCAACTCTATCAACTCTTTCTGTGGTTACTGGGGAGAGAATGTATTCTCCTCTTGCAGAAACATTAAGGGCATTGCCCTGTGTGGCAACAGTATATCTGCTACCAAAGAAATAGTTATAAAAGCACTGAGTTACATTTAGTTTTAAAAAATCAGAAAAATATAGTAGCCTTTCAAAGTATTGCTAATTTTCTACCTACTCTCTGTAACCCGTTCTGGTTATTGCCAGCTTGACTATGCAATTTCAGAGTTATTATTCACTTTGGGAAACACACTTGCTTTTCTTAACAGAGTACTTTTTAATTCCCTTACCAATGGCAAGGAATTATCCCATCTTTGTTCATTTGTATCATCATTCTAACGTTTTCCAAAGCTGCCCCGAAAAAATATCCCCACACATTCAAGATGTTAGAATCTCTTTTCTTTTTCATTGACTTGGAGCATTTGAGGGATGAATGCTGTCTGCTCTTGTGGTCATGACTCTCTTCATGCTGTCCATGCTCACAGCGCTTTAACATACATATGTAAAGCAATATTATCACAGCTCTTACAAGTCTAGGCAACATTTTACTGTCACTGCAATAAATGCAAACTTTTTCGAAGGGCTACCAATCTTGGTTCCTTTTGTAAAGACATATTTATGCATTTACTGTGCTCATGAGAGGCTATTACACTCATTCTAAAGAAATAAGTGGTCATATACAAATGCTTTATTTTTTTCCCCAATGAATCATAAATTTTTCCCTCCTTTCAAATGAAAACCTTTTCTTACTACTAGACCTGGGGAAAGGAATAGGCCATCAGAAATTCTTAGTTTACTATTATTTCTTCTTTAAAATGAAGAGAAATGGTACCGATTGGATTTGTATTTCTATGACTGATACAGATGATCAGATGATTTATTAAATTAGGCTAGGTAAAACTAATTTATCCACTATGATGTCTGAAGGGGTGGGTTGCCCCTCCACACCTGCGGGTGTTTCTTGTAAGGTGGAACGAGAGACTTGGAAAAGAAAAAGACATAGAGACAAAGTATAGAGAAAGAAATAAGGGGACCCGGGGAACCAGCGTTCAGCATATGGAGGATCCTGCCAGCCTCTGAGTTCCCTTAGTATTTATTGATCATTCGTGGGTGTTTCTCCAAGAGGGGGATGTGTCAGGGTCACAAGACAATTGTGGGGAGAGGGTCAGCAGACAAACACGTGAACAAAGGTCTTGCATCATAGACAAGGTAAAGGATTAAGTGCTGTGCTTTTAGATATGCATACACATAAACATCTCAATGCTTTACAAAGCAGTATTGCTGCCCGCGTGTCCCACCTCCAGCCCTAAGGCGGTTTTTCCCTATCTCAGTAGATGGAACATACAATCGGGTTTTATACCGAGACATTCCATTGCCCAGGGACGGGCAGGAGACAGATGCCTTCCTCTTGTCTCAACTGCAAGAGGCATGCCTTCCTCTTATACTAATCCTCCTCAGCACAGACCCTTTATGGGTGTCAGGCTGGGGGACGGTCAGGTCTTTCCCTTCCCACGAGGCCATATTTCAGACTATCACATGGGGAGAAACCTTGGACAATACCTGGCTTTCCTAGGCAGAGGTCCCTGCGGCCTTCCGCAGTTTTTGTGTCCCTGGGTACTTGAGATTAGGGAGTGGTGATGACTCTTAAGGAGCGTACTGCCTTCAAGCATCTGTTTAACAAAGCACATCTTGCACCGCCCTTAATCCATTTAACCCTGAGTTTGACACAGCACATGTTTCAGAGAGCACGGGGTTGGGGGTAAGGTCACAGAATCTCAAGGCAGAAGAATTTTTCTTAGTACAGAACAAAATGGAGTCTCCCATGTCTACTTCTTTCTACACAGACACAGTAACAATCTGATCTCTCTTGCTTTTCCCCACAGATGTCAATAGTTATTCTGTCATAAATATTAATCTATAATATTTTCCTAGAAATGTGACAGCAGAATTCATCCTTTTATTTAAAAAAATATTGAGTATGGTTCTGTTAGTTTTCTATGTCTGCTTTTAACAAATTACTACATACCTAATGGCTTAAATGAACAAAGTTGTCCTTTTATAGGTCTGGAGGTCAGAAATCTAAAATAGATTGGTGGGGCTTTGTTCCATCTGGGTCTTTAAAGGAAAATCTGTGTCCTTGCCTTTCCTTGTAAATGCCACCCTCATTCCTTGGCTCATGTACTTGTATTACCTCAACCTCTGCTTCCTATTGTCTCATCTCCTTCTCTGATTCTGATCCTCTGCCTTCCTCTTATGAAAGTCCTTGTGATTATATTGGACTAGTCCAGGATAATCCCTCCATATCAAGGTTCTTAACTTAATTACATCTGCAAAGTCACTTTTGCCATGTAAGGTAAGTTATTCACCTATTCTTGGAATTATGATGCGGTCATCTTTGGAAGCCATTATTCTGTCTACAACAATGGTAATAAAAATATATGTTTATAAAAGATAACTAACTTTTTATTTTTTAGTATTTTTATATTTTTTAACTTTTAGGTTCTTGGGTACATGTGCAGGTTTGTTATATAGGTAAACATGTCATGAGGGTTTGTTGTACAGATTATTTCATCACTCAGGTATTAAGCTTCATACCCATTAATTATTTTTTCCTGATCCTCTCCCTCCTCCCACCCTCCACCATTCAGTAGTCCCCAGTGTGTGTTATTTACCACTATGTGTCCATGGATAACACTAAATTTAAGTGGGAAACTTTTATTTCAAATTATCACCACTGATATGTCAAAAACAGTAGTCAAAATGTAAAACCCTTTTTTTTCCTTTTTCTGAGACCATTGTAGTAACAAGTTTAGGCAAAAGCAATTTTATTTAAATCAATCTTGATGAATAAGATTAGGGAAAAAAGGCATAATTATCTTAGCGTATTCCAGGCCTTGCAAATCGTAAAGGAAAAGTTTGTCACTTTTTTTACACAATGACTAGAAGCAAAAGGCACTTGCACAGGCTGACTACTTCCAGAGGGAGAGAAATGAGTGTAATTTCAGTTTTGTAAAATATTGACTTTTTTCTGTCTTAATGGAGGCCTATACACATGAACCACCCTGTTCATGTGGGCAGGATTGTGCTCACCTGACTGACCACTAAAGGAAGCACTTGCTTCTGGTAATTATATGAACCAGAAAAAACATTCAGCCCTCTGAAAATGTTCCAAACAACATTTTTAAATGATCCAACTATATCTTGTAATTGGTATTTTCAAAAACCTTGAAAACGTCTCTGCCACTATGGCAACTCACTGTAGCATCTGTAATAACGACCTTCTGCAGAACATGATTAATGAGTTTTACTTTTTCCTTCATGTAGAAGTAAAATAGTCCACAGTTTTAAATGGCTCTCTTATATAAACATGTAATTATTCTATTGTCACTGTTCAGTTTTGAAATGATATCTGAAAGTATGTACTAAAATAATTCAATGATTTTGGGAACCAAATGAAATGAAGGCCATAAGAAGGGTACATTTTCATAAAGATTAAACACAAAAGTATTAAATCTTTATCATAGTTAAGCAGAGGAGATGGAAAAGATAGTTTAAGACACTTACACTACTCTCTTTTAGAGAGATTTTTGTGGAAACCTAAGACAACGTGAGATTAATGTATAGGAGGTGTGAGGGCCACCTTGGTGGAGTTGGGTAGAGTCAAGATTGTGAGAGGGAGGTAAGTTCTGTCTTGGTTATATGCAGTGATAACCCCTTCTGGATCTATTTTACAGTGATGTATAATGTTACTGACACATAGTATGTAGTTAATGAGTATTTCTACAATAAAATAAGAAAATAATATAAAACTAGGGGATGGGGCTACTAGTGCTTAGATCACTCCAAGCTTTACTTTTCAATACATGGTTCATAAATATATGTGAATTAAGCTGAGGCTTCAGAAGGAATGTGTTTGTCTAAAAATAGTTAAAATTATATAACTTAGGATTAATTGTTTGTTTCTGACTTCTAAAACTCTATATGAAAGAAAGAAGTAATATTAAAGGCTAGAGAAATAAGGATGGATTTTAAAATGAATGTAATATAACTTTATATTTTTATTCTTATATAATGTGGCTCTATGTTCTTTTAAGAATATAGTCAATCAGAATTGATTAATACAAATACAATATAACTGTTTGTCATACTGCTGTTGGGCACACAGGTATTTTTATAGTTCGAATTTGTAGCAGGTGAGACAGTAATGCTATAAATATAGAATTTTGTGAGGTCACCTAGATAACTTCCAAGAGGATCTGGTCTTTAAAATCCAAATTTAATGTGCCTGAATCTCAAAGGGACTGTTTATCTTTTTCTTAGACATCTCTGGCTGCAAGATCTTTTTCTTAATGGATTACTCTGTTCAGGATTATTTGAAATCTCACATGTGCTTTCCTTTTTTTTTTTGCTGTATGACATGCCCAGAAAGATATTCAGCCCTTTCTATATATTACACACATACATTAACATATTTTCTTTAGATGAGGTTTTTAGATGTACAGAGTGAACACTGACATTTTGAAGAGGTGGAAACAGTTTTAAACCACAGGGCTCGAGCACCAGACATTTCTATTTTTTAAAAAAGCAGTCATTTTTTTTTTTTTTGCCAACTCATTATCTAGGCTGATTTATTCTTATCAGAGTAACTCAGAGCCCTTAACCCCCAGTCTTCAAGCTCAGTTTTGACCTCTTTTTCTATATTCAGATTTGGTGAAATGCTTTGCTCAACATCAGCTTTATAGCCCTGAGTCCCCTATTTTCTTTCTTTCCTATTTGTCTCGATAAAGAGAAAGGAGCATATAGAAATTTTATGCCATTATTATGAGTTAAATTCTCTCCCACAACAGAGAGAATTACTACAGGGAAATTCATAGATTTAAATATTAGGCTAGTGCAAAAGTGATTGTGGTTTTTGCCATTACTTTTGATGGCAAAAACTGCAATTGTTTTGCACCAACCTAATAACATTTCTGTTGTATTAAATAGTATTAGTTGAAGTGATGGTAGTGCTGTCAATATTAGACTATAAATGGGGAAGATAAGAGAAAAAAGCCTGGGAAATTCAATCAAATGGTTCAGAGCTAAAGACACATGGCAGCTCTTTTCATGTTCCTTAAACAGCTGGAGTAAAGATTAAATAACAATGACCTTGCTCAGGACTCTTGGAAAATTGAGTAATTGAACCCATGTTCAGGACTAATAGTGACCTGAGATAGAGCTGTTTGGTTGGGAATTCTTAGAAAATCTGGTTGCTCATGTTCTTAGGACCACATGTAAAGGGGAATCAACTTGCTCAGAGAGTGCAACACTATCCCAGCTAAAGGAAATGCCACAGAGTACTGCGCTTTCTCCTCAAGAATACATTGCACTGGGGTCCATGGTTACCAGGGCAACAGTGAGCTGGGATCTTTCTTTGAGTACATAAAAAAAAAATCTGCCATTGAAAGTTGATAGTGTTTGAGAGTATCAAAAGCTTCTCCCTAGAAAGGAGTTATGATGGTGTGGATACACAATGAACCAGGTTTTAGATTTTCTATTCAAATACTCCTGAAGACAGTGAAGGTAATTTTTTTTTTATTATACTTTAAGTTCTGGGGTACATGTGCAGAATGTGCAGGTTCGTTACATAGGGTATACATGTGCCATGGTGGTTTGCTGCACCCATCAACCAGTTATCTACATTAGGTATTTCTCCTAATGCTATGCCTCCCCTAGTTGCCCTCCCCATGACAGGCCCCAGTGTGTGATGTTCCCCTCCCTGTGTCCATGTGTTCACATTGCTCAACTCCCACTTATGAGAGAGAACATACAGTGTTTGGTTTTCTGTTCTTGTGTTAGTTTGCTGAGAATGATGGTTTTCAGCTTCATCCATATCCCTGCAAAGGACATGAACTCATCCTTTTTTATGGCTGCATAGTATTCCATGGTGTATATATGCCACATTTTCTTTATTCAGTCTAGCATTGACGGGCATTTGGGTTGGCTCCAAGCGTTTGCTATTGTGAACAGTGCCACAATAAACATATGTGTGCCTGTGTCTTTATAGTAGAATGATTTATAATCCTTTGGGTATATACCCAGTCATGGGATTGCTGGGTCAAATGGTAGTTCTGGTTCTAGATCCTTGAGGAATCGCCACACTGTCTTCCAAAATGGTTGAACTAATTTACACTCCCACCAACGGTGTAAATGCGTTGCTATTTCTCCACATCCTCTCCAGCATCTGTTGTTTCCTGACTTTTTAATGATTGCCATCTTTGACAAACCTGACAAAAACAAGCAATGGGGACAGGATTCTCTATTTAATAAATGGTGCTGGGAAAACTGGCAAGCCATATGCAGAAAACTGAAACTGGACCCCATCCTTACACCTTATACAAAAACTAACTCAAGATGGCTTAAAGACTTAAACGTAAGACCTAAAACCATAAAAACCCTAGAAGAAAACCTAGACAATGCCATTCAGAACATAGGCATGGGCAAAGACTTCATGACTAAAACACCAAAAGCAACGGCAACAAAAGCCAAAATTGACAAATGGGATCTAATTAAACTAAGGAGCTTCTGCACAGCCAAAGAAACTATCATCAGAGTGAACAGGAAACCTACACAATGGGAGAAAATTTTTGCAATCTATTCATCCGACAGAGGGCTAATATCCAGAATCTACAAAGAACTTAAACAAATTTACAAGAAAAAAGCAAACAACCCCATCAAAAAGTGGACGAAGGATATGAACAGACACTTCTCAAAAGAAGACATTTATGCAGCCAGCAAACATATGAAAAAAAGCTCATCATCACTGGTCATTAGAGAAATGCGAATCGAAACCATAGTGAGATATCATTTCATGCCAGTTAGAATGGTGATCATTAAAAAGTCAGGGAAGGTAAATTACTCATCTAGTGTGTTCACCTATTAAATGATACTCCTTAGGTTTTGAAGGAGTCAATGCAATTCTCACATGTACACAAAATTACTGAAATGGGAAGCTTTCCTCGAGTGGTTGTGGTCTTGAAAAAGTCTTGTCTACACAATTTCAGAGTATGTGGTAATTTGACTCAAACAGGTTGTTTGAAATTATGTAGTCAAGATTGTTTAATTATTTAAATATGCCATTGTTAATGCATTGATTTGATGTCATTTGAGAATAACTTAAGCCAGAAACCTCCACCCTTAGTCAAAACCAGTGAAGACAGAATAGCACGGTGATTCTGATGCTGGACTTGGGAGCCAGATAGCCTGGCTTCAAATCTTTCCTCTGTCACCCAGCTGTGTGTGACTTTGGTGAAGTTAACTTATTTTCTCACTTTTTCATCTGTAAAATGGAGATAGTAATAGGCTCTCCCTCAGGTTGTTTTTTATGAAGAATAAGCGAGTTAGTGAGTAAAGTGCCTGGCAAATATAAGCTCTAAAAATATTTTCTAGAATCTGATTATGTAGTATTTCATCTAAGAGCTTTCTTAAGGAACAAATACGTGTGTAAAACATGCATGGGAAATATGCTAATTTTAATCCATATAGACTTTAAAATGTTCATTTACTCTTAAAAATGAGAAAGTGAGCGTTAGTGTGGAATTTTAATTAACTATAAATTAAGTGAATTTTTACTTTTTGGTTATATTTCTAGTTGGAATGGCATGTAAAATACTGATGCATTTTAGCACACAGAATATTATAACAAACAATGAATATAGAAAATCCATCCGTTAATTAGCCAGGGCTGAATAAATTCATGCAGCAGTGAGTAGCGTTCAGCATTAGGTTGTTTTCCTGATATTTGTACTTTGTAATAAAGTCTTGCTCATTATCTGTATTTTTATTGGAAAAAATTGTTAATTTAAGGAATAGGAGAATGAGAGTTTTTAATGGCAATAAGTAATGAGGAAATTAGTTTTGCAATCTGTATGGAAGTGAAGCTTTCTTCTCTTTATTTTAAAATTCTATTGCATTAACAGAAAAAACTGTATTTAAGGGATAGCTGGTAAATTCTTCTAAAAGCCTTGAACTATTGAGATTAAAATAATTTCAAAGGTTCCAGAATGATTGTTTATTTTGGAAAATTAACCTATGGCAACCATTATAAAATCATACATCTATTAATATGTTCATTGTTTAAACTGAAATAAAACATAGTATGTCTTAACTATTAGTTAATAAAGGAACAAATAAAAGAGTTAAATCAATTAAACATTGTAGGTATTCTTTATCACTGACAAATCATTGTAAAGAATAAGAGGCTGATCCTACACTTATGTATATTTCTATAACATTTATTTTGGTCTCAGGGCAGGAGCTTCTCCTAGTCTTATTCTATCTTGACCTCATTTGCTAGATTCTTGTTACCAATCTCTACACTTCTCTGAGACTTGCCAATCATATTCTTGTGCCTTAATTTTTTTCTACCTATTCTTTTTCTTGAGCTTTAAGATAAAACCTGCTCAAGAAAGTTTGTCAATCTTCAGAGATATGTTCTTAATTTTGTCAATATCTCAAGCTACCAAGGCACCTCTTTACTGTCAATCGTCTTAATGGACAATGTACACACTTTGCCCCTACTTTTCAGCTCCTCCTTTGCTCTTCACCACAGTATGATTGACTGCCACTCATCACTGTCCTGTCACTGCTCTCACAAGTCACTAGAGATCAGCCTGTGTCAATTTAGTTGACCTCTTATAATCTGAAATCTGCCAATCATCTCTGCTGCATTGGACAAACTTTTTCATATGGCTTCTCTACTGAGTCTCTAGTATCCTATGCCTACCTTACCTTTCTCAACAATTTTAGTATCTGTTATTGCCCTTACTGACCCTAAAATTTTATCATCCCTTAGGAATTTACCTGCCTGTCTTAGAGGAAGCATAAGCTTTATTTAACCAAACTAAACTCACTTCCTTCTCTTGCCTTATATGTTTCTCTTCATTTTTCTGTATCCCACTGTGACGTCATCACCTGCACCATCGTTTAAGCCAGGCATCTTGAATTCTTCTTTGTATACTTACTTCTTGTTGGTCTTGAAGTTTCAGCATTACTTCTCTTCTTTCTTTGCATCATCATCCTCAATAGAAGCCTTCCACACTACGCTGTCTATGTAGGCACGGTTACAATTCAAAAATCTTTCTATGATCCTTCTAAGGAATCTCCAAATCTTTGGCTGGTTCTCTGATTCATTTACTTTTGTTTGATTCCTGAATTTGCCTTCTAAAGGAACTTCAGGGTCAATATTCAAGTTTTCTCTTGCTTCTCTAGGCATCAACATCTAGAGGAAGTAAACATCAGCATCCCTTCACCCTTTGCTGGGGACCTCTAGGCCTACCCTCTCCCAGAATCAGACTTAAGGTCTGTGCCTGCAGAGCCAGTGAGAAGGTGGACTATTATTTAAGCCCACACCTGATTCCCCCAAAGTTACTGCTTCTCTGAAAGCAAAGTTCACTCATTTTCATTGAACAAAAAATTTGAACTAGTGAAAAATTATCTCTATCTTTGCAAGTGATTATATATATTTAAATCTGTAACGTTGCTAAAGGCATGCCATTTTGACTCTTTAGAATAAAAATGCTCAAGTCACTTGTTTAGGCACAGAACATTCTGTGCTTGAAAAGAATTAAGTCAATGCGTTAATTTTTTGCACAGTGACAGTGGGGTGATCTGTACTATATTTGTTGAGAAAGGAAAAAAAAAGATGATATTTTCTACCTGAAAATCTTATTTTTGTTAGCTCTCCACTTCTTTTTTTATCCTTGCAAGTTACTTGTTAACTTGTGTTATCCTGACCATTTTAATGTAAGTAAATAATTACTCAACAGAGATCATACAGAGGAAAAATTGCAAAAGCTTTTTTGAAATCATATACTATAAATTACAGTAGTTGTTGCTAAACATGCATAAAACTTTTTTTTTAGGATAATGCAGAGCATGTTCACATGTTGCCTCCAGGTCTGACTCCTATCTAATTGTCATCTTTATGAAAATATCTTAGTTATTAATATAAATATTAGGAAGCAATAGAGCAATTTTTATTATTACAAGGAGACAGAGACTACCTTAACTTTTATCTCTACCTTGTAAAAGGTTTTCTAAAAGACTTATTCTCAACATTGAGAATTTAGAACTTAGACAATTTCATTTATAGTTGTCTATGTTTCATGGATTGAACTGGAGGTCATTATGTTAAGTGAAATAAGCCAGACACAGAAAGACAAACTTTGTATGTTCTCTTATTTGTGGAATCTAGGCACCAGTTTTAAAACGCATTAAACACATTTTCTGCATTAAAATGCTTGCTAATCATGTCATAAATTTAATGACTACACAGGACCCATTTGACTTTCAGTTACCCTCTGGAAATTTATAATTACATATTTATAATTCATAATTAAAGATAGACTATAAAGACTATAAAGTTTTAACATACATTCATTCAGCTAGTAAACCTTTTAACTTAGAAAGATTGATTCATAGAAGAAAGCGGTCTCTCCAGCCCTCTATTTCCCCTAGGTGATCCTAAAGTGTGCAGCAACAGTTAAAGTATTGAATACATTATCTCTTATCCATTTATTTATTTATGCCAATATTGGACAATTGAGTTGTTCAAGAGAACCCAATTTTCTTATATTAAGCCAGTGAATGTCTGTCATAATATAAATTTGTAATTTTTTGTTTCACTTATTGGGTTCATATTTTTTAACTTTAAAAATTTATATATATAATATTGAATATATTATAAATATATTAAATATGTTATAATATATAATATTATATAAATAGATAATAAATTTATATTTATATATGTAATTTAAAAATTAATATATATTTTGTTATATACTAATTAATTTTTTTGAGATGGAGTCTCACTTTCTAAAATCAGTCTCACTTTCTAAAATATAAAAAAATATATATACATACCTATATACAGAACATATATTAAATTCCACAGGCTATGCTAAACACTGGAGACACAATATTGCAAAGGACAGACAAATTTCCTGCCCTCACAGAGTCTAATAGTAATAATATAAGGATAATCATTGGGAGTGTCCTTTCAGCTCTTTGAAGGCAGTAATAGCCAAGCAATTGAAAGCATTGCAGACAGATGAAATGGAAGAAAATATGCAAAGGTCCAGAGAAAAGAAAGTATGGTGAACTAATGTTCCCCATGACCAAATATGTGATTTCGGGACCAGAGAAGCAAAGACAGGTAGGTCTTGACAGATTTCAGACCATATTTTTATGAAAATAGGGAACCACTTAAAGGAGAATATCACTGAGAAGAAGACATAATCTTATTTACATTTTAGAAACAAACTTATTTCAGTGTAAAGTTTAGTTGAGTGCAAAAAAGGAAGGAGAATAGCCAATTATGATTCACTGTGATACAGCCAAAAAATGATGGGAAATAATACCAGAGCAGTGGTAATGGGATGCAAGGAAAGCGGAAGATACTTGGGAGGACAATCAATAGGACAGTCTGAGGATATATGGGGTACGGGAATGGAAGGCAGATTGTGCACTGCACAGCTGGAGAGACTGTCCTTGCATAGCCGCAAGCAAGCCACAGAGTGGGCCCTCAAAGATGATACTCAGGTTTCTGGTTTGAGTTACTGGGTAGATGGTCATCCTGTTCACTGAGTTAGGAAGAACAGGAGGAGATATGGTATTAGGTGAGAAGAAGATAATGAGTTCATTTTTGGACATACTGATTTCAAGTTATCTAAGGGATATCAAAGGTAGTGAGATGGATATACGAGTCTGGAACTCATAGAATTTTTCTTGGCATTCGCTTTGGGTTTGGCAATTTCCGCATGTAGATAGTAATGAAAAATATAAGAATATATGGACATTTTCTAGGATAATTTATAAAGTGAGAAAAGTGGAGGACCAGGACACCCAATTTAAGAGATGGAAAGGAAGAATAAGATCCTGCTACTGAGGTAGGGCGAAGCTCCGTGTAGGGTGATGTCATGCGATAAAGGGGAAAAGAGTTTTTTGGTTTTGTTTTGTTTTTATAAAGGAAGGAGTAGATAATTGTGTCAACTACTGCAAAGAGCTCAACTACAGTAAAAATTAAAACTTAATCATGGCATTTTGCAATGAGATAATTATTAATGAGTCTGGTAATGGCTCAATTTCTTGTGGAAACTGCTGAGGTTGGGAGCCAGAATGTGATGGGTTAAGGAGAGAATCAGAGATGAAAAATAGAGACATGTCATGTAGAGTATGCTTTGGAGCATTTGGCTTATAAAGTAGAGGGGAGTGAGAATGACAATAAGTTAGAGGAATATGAATTCAGAAATGATTTTGTTTGAAGAAGGGTGGGACTTGAACATGTTCACATGTTGATGGGAAAGATTATGCTGAGATGGAAGGATCAAAGGTGATTCATTTCCAAAGAGAAAAACAAAAGGGTTTTAGAGAACTGGTGGAAAGATCCTTTTGAGGTTAGAGATCATAAAATTACAATGGCACTAAGCCAATGAATCTTGCACCTTCATGAGAGCCTGAATGTAAACTTCCAAAGCAACTATCATAAACATAACTTGAAATCAGGTCTTAATATATTGTTTTAAAATTATCTAATTATGTCTCCATTTCCACAAGAGAGAGGATTGTGGGTCTTAAGTATTGTAGTACTCTCACAGCTAAGGCACCATCCCAGGCCCATAGTAAGCACCTATAACGTTTATATTGATTCAATTAAAAGTTATTTTCATTCTCTTGCTTTCCAGACTCATTAAGTACTTTTTTTCTTGGTTAAATATTCAAAATTTCTCCAGCTTCTCCAGATATAATTTTGTTCTGAGTCTCTTCATGTCCCTACTAATACTCTACTGCAAAAGCTTGGTTTTGTTTATGTCTGTAACATGCAGTGTCCACACATGAAGCTATACTTCAGCTATAGCTGAGAAGAAAGAGTCTAAGGTGAAAGTTACATAAACCTCTTTTTGTAAATGAAGAAAAAATAGCAATCTTCAGAGATCATGATTATAGTTCAAGTATGTTACTCTCAGGCACAAAGACAGTTACCAATTTCTTCCACTGAAATGATATGATGGTGAGCCCTTGCCCATGGAGAGATGAACAACCATCTTAATAAATGCTTAGTCTAAAGTTTTGGAAGCATCCCTACTTCTTCTCCAGCCCCTGTTTGTTGATATTTGCTTATAGAAAGAAAACAATTCTAATATTAGAATAATAAAAACTGAAGAAGCCAGCCCTACCAACATCTTGATTTTAGCTTGTTGAGAGCCATGTCAGACTGTCGACATTAAGAACTGCAAGATAATAAAGTTGTGTTGTTTTAGCCTCCGAGTTTGTAGTAATTTATTATAGCAGCATTAGGAAATGAATAACGGGAACTAGAGGTTGAAGTTCTAAACTGGGACAGAATTAAGGATAAAGTACCAAAACTCCTTAATAGAGGTGATCATTCCACACTGCCCAGCATATTAAATGGGTAAACTAAAACAGCTACTACAACATTAACCTTCGCAGATCCACTTTTTCCCTATTGAATTATTGACTTGACTTTACAGCTCATAGTGAGTGATCAGCACATAAATTATCAGCAGGTTTATGTATACTTTGAAGTGAAAACACAAGCTCAGGAAAAATGGCAGCTGGCCTGCTTACAAACTACAGGTCACTACATAGCAATATAGTTAAACTTCGCTGCTCCACAAAATGTTGCAACTTATATGTCAATTTGTTAAGGACATTTTCTTTACTAATAACATAAGGATAGTAATATTTATTTAGCAGTTACACTGTACCACAAACTACAGTGAAGAATTTTTCATGTTTTATTTCATTTTACAACATTAATGCATAAGAGATATTATTTCCATTTTACAGATTAAATTTAAGTAAACTGGTCCGTCAGTGGTTGGAATATCTGGCCCTGAAGTCCATGTTCCTTAATGAAAGCTGTAGAAAGCTAGTTTGTCAGCATCGAGTTTCTTCTCTTAATCTTTAAAATAATCAGGTCGACTCTACTACTGCTTTTGCATATCTGTACTTCTGCATAAAAATCACTGACACTTGATTTTTGCTCTGCTTTCTTTTGCAGAACATGACCTATTCTAGGAGAAAGTGTCCTTTTTGAAGTTTTTGCTGTGGACATTGAATTAAAAGGGAAGACACAGAACAAAATGGTACTCTGTGTCCTAGATTCTATCAAAAGAGACTACCTTCAAGAGTTTAAAATTTGGCAGCAAACTCTGCTTTAGGCCTTGCTATGGCATGTGAGAATTTATCTATATGGCATATATTTTTAAATTAACATACAAAATAATTTGTTAGACTTCACTTGCACTCAAGTCCATAGGTACATAGATAGTTCATATTTTTATACATGTGTTATGTGGGGTAGACATCAAATATTAGACCATTGGCAAACCACTCAACTTACTTTTTGACTGACCAATTTAAAGTTAGGTAAAAAGAATAGGCTTCCTGGTGAGTCAAACTATGCTGTATATTTTAGTCTTTACTGAAGATTTAAAGATGATAAAATTGAAGAGACCAAAGACTTGAACTCTTGATTTGTCCTTGCTGTTGCTTTATAGTGAAGGCACACATCTATCTGACATAGCTAGAAAATAAACATGTCATGACCTAGCTGAAATATTAAAATTACACTGTTTTATTTTAAGTGCTTGTCAAAATAATTAGATTGGAGAAATCAGTATTTGGGTGTTTCTCTAATATTATTCTATAATTTTGTCAAAACCTGGTACCTAAAGCTCCTCTCTGAAACTAAGAGGAATAGTTGAGTTGTCCTCCCCAAGAGCAGTCTACTTGTCACTGTAATTTCTGAATAAACCTTCCTCACTGCCTACCACAGCTCTAACTTCATTAGGATGTCCTACACCTTTATTTTGTTGGAAAATGTCTCTTCCCAATGCTTATTTGTGATAGCTATCCATATGAATTTTGGTCAATTAAGTTTGATTACTAATTAAACTAGCGGAGAAAAGAATACAGAAAGGAAAAGAGACCTCAATTATTGGTAAAGCTGATAAAACCATTAAGAAAAATGTGAAGAAGTTACTAGAGTTAGGAGAAAACCTGAGAACATAAACAATCATTCCCACTGTGCCTTCTCCAGCCCCAGTTTTGTTTTTAACACAGACACAGGGCCATGTTATGATGAGTAAAGAGTGTATTCTTATTTGATATTAATCTCAAAGATTAGAAACATTGACAAAACCCCAACTTTCTGAGATGTATATAAGGATTTTGTGGTGGATAGAATTATAAAATAACCCCTAGGATGGTCTCCATCTGCGGTATGTGCATCTTCTCCCAGTTACTCAATGAAATGCACCTAGGTGCTCACGTGAAGGGATTTTTCAGGTGCAATTAAGTCTCAAAATATTAAGATGTTCTTAAGACAGGGAGATTTTAATTAGTGGTTGTAATCACGACAGCCCTTAAAAGGGAGTGGGCTCTTTCTGGAAAGAAATTGGACGCATGAGAATTATTTGATGCAAGGGAGATTCTCTGTGGCTGGCTCTGAGAGTGGAGGGGCCTACATGGCAGGGAATGGCCCAGGACCGTAGACCAACTGCTAGACTACAGCTAGGACCCTAGAGCAACTGCTAGACTAGGTTGCAGCTCAGTCCTTCAACCACTAGGAACTGGATTTTGCCAACATTCTGAGTGAGCTAGGAAGTGGATTATTCTCCAGAGCCTCCAGATAAAATCACAGTCTGGCTGATGCCTTGAGTGTGAACTTCTAAGTGGCGAGTCCAGCTAAGCTGCTCTTGGACTTCTGATTCACAGAAATGGGAATAATAAATGGGTATTGCCTTAAGCCACCAAGTGTGTTGTGATTTGTTACACAGCAACAGAAACTGAATACAGATTTTTTAAGAAATAGAAAAATCCCAACCTGTACAGCTTATTACGATCATTTTCGAAAGTTGACTGTATACTACAGAATTTAGAGCAGGCTATTTTATCCAAAACTTAGCTCTTAGTTTTAATTCATGTGATCACTGCTAACTGCTTAGGAATTTGGTAAATGAATTATTCATAGCACTTAATATATTTGTTAAACCTTTATACTTTTAGTCCCAAGGATCCTAATCACTTTAGTCCATTTGCATATGGCAGTGAGTCCACCTCCTTGATCATTTTTGCAGGTCTTTTGAAAACATTTTTCCTGAAGAACAATGATTAGACTTGAATAGGAATGCATGTGGTAGACAAAGGTAGTATAGTTTTCCGAAGTGAACAAAGTAGAAATGAGGCTTTAGGTGGTTATTTACATCATAAGTTGTTATTTGTGGCATGAGGTTATTTGTAGTATATGCCTTTTACATTTACTATTGTGCTTCTGGTAGGATAGCTTATATATGCAAGCTCTCTCCGTTATATTACAATTGAATATTTCTAATCCAAACAATAGTATTAATAGCAGATCCCAAAAACCAGTACTGGAACCTTGAAAAGACATCTCTTTATGTCTCAGGAAAAGAGTTATAGTCTATGTCAAGAGTCTCCCATTTGTTCACTTTGGAAAGCTGTAAAGAAATTACAATGGAGGCGGCTCGGAGCCTGGGTGCTCTGGGCTCCTGTGGATTCTTCTCTTCCACAGGGTTTCTTTCTTCACCAGTTCTATCATGTGACTGTGCCTAGAAGTGTTTCCTGGTAAGGGGATGCCTCTAAGGAAGGAGTCATGGAGCAGAATGCAGGTTGGATCAGTTTTGGGATGGGGGACACCCCATATCCTAAAGAAGAGGGGCTAAACAAAGTCATATATGGTCTAACTCAGCCCAGTAAAATTGAAGTACAATGTTTGGCGCATAGTAGATATTCAGTAAGAGTTCAATGATTGCTCAATCAGGGCCCCCCAAAAACACCTCTTCCCAGGTTAGATGGTTTTTTTAGCAGTACTCATAGGACTAAACATACAGTTTTACTCATGGCTACAATTTATTTCAGTGAAACTATGCAGAGCAAAAACTGCAAAGGGAAAAGGGTATGGGGTGTAATCTGGGGAAAACCCAGCCCAAGTTTTCAGAATCCTTTCCAGGTGGAATCACATAGGACATGCTTGATTACCCCAGGAATGAATTGTAATGTGTAAAATGTCATCTTCCAGGCAAGCTCATTAGAAACGCAGTTCCCAGGGTTTTTCGGAGGTTTGTCATATAAGCAACCTTTGCCTAGCATTCCCGACTTCCAAAATGAAAGTAGATGGTTAGCATAAATCATATTGTTTGCTCAATCAGTTTATGCACAGTGAGATACTTTTATCAGGGAGGGTTGTGAGAATCTTCCCCAAATTTAAGTTCCCAGATGCCAGTTGAGGGTCAACCTTGCAAGCAGGTGTCTCTAAGGATAACAGTCTCAGTCCTGCTATATTAACTCTCTTTTTTCACAGTGCCAAAGTAGAGAGATGGAGTCAAAGACCTATCCAGGGTCTACTTGGCCAAGTAGTTTTGGCTTTTACCTTGAGTAATATGGGAGACCACTGGAGGGTTTTGAGTAAAGAAATGACACGACCAAACTTTGTTAAAAAGATTACTCTGGCCGCTGTGCTGGGGATATATTGTAAGGGGCAACGGTGTAAGATGAGACCAGTTCAGAAGCTAAAGTACTGAAATGATGATGACACAGATCAAAGTGATAATTTGGACATAGTGAGATGTAGTCCAAATGTAGATATATTTTGAAGATAAGGCCAAATTTTGCTGATGGATTGAATATGAGGTACAATATAAAAAGAGGAGTCAGGAATTATGCCATGATTTTTGGTGTGTACAACTGGAAGAATAAAATTGTCATTTACATAATGGAGATGAGCACCAGTACAGCACATTTTGGATGGATACTTGGGAGTTTAGCTTTGAATAGTATAAGATGCTTTTTAGATATGTATACAAGTACCAAGTAGGCAGTTGGAATAAAAGTATGGGATTCAGGGAAAATTTCTAGCAGGAGGTATAAGTTTGGGAGTTATGAGCCAACAGAAAATATTTAAAGCCAGCCAGGCGCGGTGTCTCACGCCTGTAATCCCAGCACTTTGTGAGGCTGAGGCGGCCGGATCACGAGGTCAGGAGATCGAGACCATCCTGGCTAACACGGTGAAACCCCGTCTCTACTAAAAATACAAAAAAATTAGCCGGGCGTAGTGGCGGGCGCCTGTAGTCCCAAGCTACTCAGGAGGCTGAGGCAGGAGAATGGCGTGAACCTGAGAGGCGGAGCTTGCAGTGAGCCGAGATCTTGCCACTGCGCTCCAGCCTGGACGACAGAGCGAGACTCTGTCTCAAAAAAAAAAAAAAAATTTTAAAGCCATGAAATTAGATGAGATAACAAAGTGAGTAATTGTAGATACAAGAAAGAACTGATGTGGTTTAGATCTGTGTTCCTGCCCAAATCTCATGTTAAATTGTAATTCTTCATGTTGGAGGTGGGGCGTGGTGGGAGGGATTAGATCACAGGAGTGGAGTTCTCAGGAATTTTTAGCATCATCCCCCTTGGTATTGTCCTCACAATACTGAATGAGTTCTCATGAGATCTGATTATTTAAAAGCAGGTAACACGTCCTCTCTGGCTCTCTTGTTCCTGCTCTGGCCATGTGATGTGTCTGCTACCCTCTTTGCCTTCTGCTATGACTGTCAGTTTTCTGAGGCCTCCCCAGAAGCTAAGTAGATGCCACCACTATGCTTCCTGTACAGCCTGCAGAAATGTAAGCCAATTAAACTTCTTTTCTTGATTAATTACCCAGTATTAGGTATTTCTTTGTAGCAGTATGAGAAGGGACTAATGCAAGTACCAAGAATCCAGCCATGGACATCTTTGTTTCGAAGCCAGAGAGACTGGCAGTGGAGATTGAGAAGGAAATGTCTGTGAGGGAGGAGGTCAACCAAGAGAATGTGGTTTTGGAAGACAAGTGAAAGAAATGTTTTTAGGAGGAAGAAATGCTCAACCCTATCAAATGCCAATAAGTCAAGTGAACAAAAATAGAATAACCATTAGATTTTTTCAAACTGGAGGTAACCTGAGAGGAAATGACCTTGAGAGGGGCAGCTTTGCTGGGTGTCTGTGAGTTTTACATAGTTACTAGGAACAGAGGCTCACTCTAGCTGCTTAAGTAAAAGCACCAAGAACAAAAACAGCTCCAGGGACTAGATTCCACGTGGGCCTCAAAGAATTCCATCTTCCTTATGACTTTGGATTGCCACAGCTCATTTGGTACAGAATCTACAGCTGGACGTCATGGGATGCAATCTTTTGGCTTGTGCTCTTATTGCTAACTTCCTCACTATCCTGGTTTTCGATTCCAGATTTCTAAAAAAAAAACCTATTTTTTCACTCAATTGTTCATACCACCCTATATGGCTCTTAAGATATAAGTCACTACCAGCCTATAGAATGGCTTATTTTGAATTAGGTTTCCATCCCTCTGTGGTCACCTATAATTTATTGGGGGTGATGAGAATTGGGGGTGATAGAAAATATGGACATAGGCAAATGATGTGCTTTTACATCTATTGAGAAAATGAAAATCCAGGGGCATTTTTGAACTTCATCAATCTGCTAATACTTCATCTTCTTGTGAGCTGTGCTGTTGGATGGAATAACTTTATTCTTAATTCTTGCCCTGCCACCACAATGACTCTGGAATTATAGGGTTACTATTTATTCATTGATGAATGCTATTTGGCTCTGTCCATCTAATCCTAAATTGTCTCTGGTTGCCACATTTTTGTGTCACATATATTTGCTCAGATGTAGTTGCAGCAGATCGTGGAGGATGATGTCTCTCTCTAGATTAATGGAGAGTATGGTTTCTCTACTGCCATTTGTCCCACTTAATACAGGAGAGGAATGAATTCCACCCTGCAAATATGTATATATATTTAGAGTGTTTCTTTACTCTTGCTTGTGTTGTACCAAATTGGCCAAATTACTTTTTAGTCAAGTTTTTATTGTGTTTATCTTCTAAATTTAAGGACTATGTTAAAGAAAGAAAAAAACGCATACAACTTTATGAGAAAAAAAGAAGATGTCTATTTTTAAAAAATTCTATATGAACACAGAAATACACATGGACAATTTGTTGGGATCACTTTTAAATAAATGTGTAATTCAGTTAGTGATTGGAAGAGACTTAAAAACTAACATTACACATTTATATCTAATGTTAAATCATAATAAAATTTTTACGTTTTAGAAGCTCTTTAGAAACTATTTTTATTAGTTACATTTATAAATGTTAGCTTTGATTATCTAGACCACTTCTCATACCTTCATTATTGGATTTTAACTTACTATGTTGTAAGTCTTCTTCTAAATTGTAACCTTTAATTATCACTGGAACATTGATTTCTTGAAGCCTCTGGGCTACCAGTGACCTTTACATTTAAAAGATAAATTTCTTTACCTTCTAAGAAGAAGGTAATAGAGAAGAATATTAAACCACAAGAGAGAAACATCAATTTGTTGCTTCTATATTAAATACAAATTCAGCAAGTACTAAGTTAGTTGTGATGCATCATATATCATTGTTATTTTATACAATTGGCTGCTACTTATTTAACCCAGTAATGTTCAAAGAAGGGGAAGGCCTTCAACACAGATATTGTCTAACACTATTTTTTTTAAAAAATCCTCAAGCTGAAAGATTCTTTACTTTTAAGAAAGGGATACAAAAATTTAAGCATGAACACTGGATGTTTTGGTTAGAATAGATCTTTGTATGTTGTCTAAACAAAGGAGCAAGAGGAATAATTATCTGGTAAATTGGAAAAGATATGCAGTCTACGTGAATTACCTAAATTCTCAAACGAATGTGACTGTTTCCATTTAAAGATTGATCACAAAATTTTGCATTTTTCAATAGACTAAGTTCTGGACTTGAGGAAGATATCACCTATCCAAACAATTACAAAGGGTACAGACAAGGTACCTTTATAGAATTATAGAACTCACAAAATGTGGTGTGGAAAAGGATTTTGGAGAGCATCTACTTATTCAACCTTCTTATTTCATCAGGTGAAGAAATGTGTCCCTGACAAGTTCTGTGGAGTCCCTGTCTTATAAATTAAGCGGCAGAGAAAGATCCACAACTTAATTGATCTTTCGATTCTCAATCCAGTGCTCTGTTTACTATAGAGACAGGCTCTTGCTAAGGTTTGAAAAGAAAGCTTTAGGTTGAATTTTTAAAAGCTCTATTTTCTACCTTAGAAAGTAATCATTTGCTTCCCAGTAAATGCATGCAGATATAGAATGATAAAAAGAAAGATAAACAGAACTCTAAATTTAAAATGCTTGTGAGACGGTGAAAATTTAACATTAACTGCATATTTGTTGATATTATGGAATTAATATAAATGTACTTTAAGGATAATAATGGAATTGTGGCATTAACAAAAGTCGTAATAGAGAATATACTGAAATATTCACAGAGAAAATAAAAAATAAATATATACATTCTAAAGGTGCTAAAGAGAAAGTTTGGCAGGACAGAAGCATACTGCTTGACTGAGAAGTTGGCAGTGAAGAGCTGTGTGCCTACAGTATAGTCAGAGCCTCAAGGGAAGCCACTACCTTGGGGGGCTTAGCAAGACACCAGGTCTGGTACTCAGTTTTCCTTGTTCAGAAAGTTATTTTTATTTATCAGACTCTGGGGAATTGATTGAAACTATCCAAGCTTACCAGTTTATTAATTCATAGTGGGGAACTTCATTTCCTATGGTAGGAATAATTATATCTGCTACTCAGGACATTACCTTTGAAATATCAAAGTACCTGGGAAACTGAATGGGAAATCAAAGTTTCCTAACAAGCATGACACCAGAGCCAAAGGAGTTGAATAGATTGTGGGATGTTTCATTCATAAGTAGAACTGTCTGGAGACTTGCTTTTGCTCACTCTATATCTTTCCTTTCTAAAAAAGGACTTCTTTTGTAAGGGCGCTTTCTCCTTAAGAGGCCCATGAAAATGAATTTTCTCCAACTTCTTCTTGATCTTCAAGAATGTTATGACTAGCCAGGCGTGGTAGCTTATGCCTGTAATTCCTGCACTTTGGGAGTCCAGTGGCAGGGAGATTGCTTGAATTCAGGAGTTCAAAACCAGTCTGGGCAACATAGTGAGACCCCATCTCTACAAAAAAATTTTTAATTAGCCAGGCGTGATGGTGTACCTGTCTTTCCAGCTATTTGTGAGGCTGGGGTGGAACGATTGCTCGAGACCTAGAGGTTGAGGTGGCAGTGAGCCGTGATCACGCCAGCCTGGGTGGCAGAGTGAGACCCTGTCTCAAGAAAAAAGAAGGAAAAGAAAAGAGAATGTCACATGCTGGACAAGTTTCATGCAAAAATTTCAAGGTTACATTAGACTGGTCTTCCATAACGTAATACTTAGTCATGTAACTTGGATTTGGTGGATCCCTTAGTCTCATCATCAACAACTTTATAAAACTATCTTTCTTATCCTGGTCTCTCCAACGCCTGACGTGCAGGAAATCAGAGGTCAGCAAACAGGGGCCATGCTAACTCTAGGCAGAGACTGCTTTGTACTGCCTGCAAACTAAGAATGGCTTTTATATTTTGAAATGTTTGAAAATAATCCATAAAAAAGGATATTACATAATAAGTGCAAATGATGTGAAGTTCAAATTTCAGTGTCCATAAAGTTTTATTGGAATGCATTTAGCACAGTTATTTATGACAGAGTTGAGGAGTTGCAGCAGAGACTACATGGTTTTCACAGTCTAAATATTTACTATCTGGTCCTTTACAGAAAAGGTTTGCTGACCTTGAAGTAGATAATTAATATTTCTTTAATACATTAAAACCTCTTTGTGAGTGGCTAATCTCAGTAGATGTTGGTTCACAATTTCTAATTATAGAGGATGGATGTTATATTCCCAATATCTGAAAGACGGTATTATTTACTTTACTCACTTATTCATTTAATCACTTAATTGTCATCAAATTCTTACTCCATACAATTATGGCTTATTGTCTCAACTAGAGAAATTAAAATGGTCAAATTTGGGTCTAAACTTTAGAGGCAATGACATAAAGGAAAATCTTGCCTTTTGCAAATAATTTTGAATGAGACTTTGAAAGGCATCATAAGGCAGGATAGACCACAGGTTTGATGCATTTGTTTTAAATATTAGCTGATTGGCTGTTTACAGTTCCTAAAGTAATGAATAAGTTTATATAGACCTGCTGTGCTAACAATGCCTACTCCTTTATATTTCATTAGTAAGATTAGTGATAGAGTTAAGAGGAAATTGGAAAGAGAGGTATGTCTGAATCTCTGGCAAATCACAATTACATGACTCAGCCAAGTCCATAATCCTCTGACAAAGCCCCATCAACACTGAAAATCAGTTGAGGTAATACATGTTTAGTGCTCCTGAAGCCTTCTTCTCTCAACTCATCAAAGTCATTCTCCGTCCAGCTTTGTTTGGTTGCTGGTGAGGAGCTGTGTTCCTTTGGAGGGGGAGAGGCGCTCTGATTTTTAGAAATTTCAGCTTTTCTGCTCTGTTTTTTCCCGATCTTTGTGGTTTTATCTATCTTTGGTCTTTGATGATTGTGACATACAGATGGGGTTTTGGTGTGGATGTCCTTTCTGTTTGTTAGTTTTCCTTCTAACAGTCAGGACCCTCAGCTGCAGGTCTGTTGGAGTTTGCTGGAGGTCCACTCCAGACCCTGTTTGCCTGGTTATCAGCAGCAGAGGCTGTAGAACAGTGAATATTGCTGAACAGCAAATGTTGCTGACCGATCATTCCTCTGGAAGCTTCATCTCAGAGGGGTACCCGGCTGTGTGGGGTGTCAGTCTGCCCCTACTGGGGGGTGCCTCCCAGTTATGCTACTCAGGGGTCAGGGACCCACTTGAGGAGGCAGTCTGTCCATTCTTAGATCTCAAACTCTGTGCTGGGAGAACCACTACTCTCTTCAAAGCTGTCAGACAGGGACATTTAAGTCTGCAGAGGTTTCTGCTGCCCTTTGTTTGGCTATGCCCTGCCCCCAGAGGTGGAGTCTACAGAGGCAGGCAGGCAAAGTAACTGGAGTAGTTTATCAATGCATTTGGTTTCTTGCATTGAAAAGAAACTTTTTATTATTATACCTGTTCTCTGTCCTTTTATCTAGAAGATCAAATGTACTTGAGTACATTTTCTTTAGGGAAATACTCTAATCTTGCATTTATTTTCAGTTCTCAGAACTCTCAGTGATATGGTTTGGATTTGTGTCCTCACTCAAATCTCCCGTCAAATTATAATTATAATTCCCATCGTTAGAGGAGGGGCCTGGTGAGAGGTGATTGGATCAAGGGGGCGATTTCCCCCTTTCTGTTCTCATTATGTGAGTGAGTTCTCACAGATCTAGTTGTTTAAAAGTGTGTAGCACCTCCCGCTTCTCTCTCTTCCTCCTTCTCCAGCAATGTAAGACGTGGCTGCTTCCCCTTTGCCTTCTGCTATGACTGTAACTTTCCTAATTCCTCTCCAGCCATGTTTCCTGTACAGCTTGTGAGTTAATTAAACCTCTTTTCTTTATAAATTACCCAGTCTCAGGTACTTCTTTATAGCAATTTAAGAACAGGCTAATACACCCAGTTACCAAATCTATGCTTCCTAGATTTGGAATCTTTATAAACACATGTTTTAACCAGACAAAGTGACTCACACCCATAATTCCAGCAACTCAGGAGGCTGAGGCAGGAGGATAGCTTGATCCCAAGAATTTGAGACTACCTTGGGAAATGTAGCAAGACATTTTCTCTAAAAATATATTAAAAACTTAACCAGACATGGTGGTGCATACTTTTAGTCCCAGCTAGTCAGGAGGCAGAGGTGGAAGCATTGCTTGGGCCCAGGAGGTTGAGGCTGCAGTGAACTATGATGGTGCCATTATACTTCAGCCTGGGTGACAAAGCAAGATCTCAAGTCAAATAAGTAAATACATAAATACAAACACTTGTTTTTCAAACTGAAGATTGAGAGGCTGACTTCATGTCTGGGAATCACACTTTAACCTCATCCAGTCCTTAGAGCAGCTCCAGCTGGACTATTTTTTTCTTTCTCAAACCAGGTCATAGTTTTTTTTTTTTTTTTTTTTTGCTCAAGACTTTGTGATGGTTTCCCATTACACTTATAATAAAATATAAATGTCCAACCTTGGCCTACAAGTGGCAGCATGACCTGGCCCTGCCTGTGTGCCAGTCTCATGCTCTCTCTTCAATCCCATGTCAGTCACCCTGGTCTTTTGAACATGGCAAGCCCTTTCCAGCCACCGGGCTATGGTGCTCACTGCTCCCTCTGCTTGAGGTACTCTTTCATTATTCTTCTCATTGCTTCTGCTTATGATTTAGGTTGGAACTTAAATGCCATCTCTTCATGGAATGGATGCCTTTTATTCACCCCTACCTAAGGTAAGATGGCAGGGTTTTCTTTCTTCAACTGTCAAAGAAAAAATGCCCTGGACAAATATGCTAAACAAGGAAGACTTATTTAAGACTATTGCAATAGAGGAGACAGACTGAATGCAACACCACTGAAACAAAAATCCAGAGAGTGTTTAAGCACTGAGGTGAGCTAGTGGAAAAGTCCTATAGAATGTTGAGGGGGAGGTTCTCAATGTGATTAGATCATCTATGTTTACTAATTGGTTAAGTTAGGCTCCTACCTTCCCATAGAGACTGGGAAATAGGAGACCTACCATCCTTGATTATTACATTTCAAAGCTTTGCCCCAGGTCCTTCAGAAAGACATTCCTGGGTGGTAAACTGTCAAAAGGCTGGGGGAAGATTGCATCTCAAAGAAGTAGAGAAGGTAATTACAATGGCAAGTTTTCTCAAGTAAATGCTCTAAGGAAAGGGAGGGAGGGGACCTATAATCAGGCAGAAACCCGTGTAAAGTTCAGGCAAGCTGAGGAAAATCTTAAGGTGATATTGGCCACCATTATGCTCCATCACAGCATTCCACTTATTTCCTTCATAACATTTATAAAAGTAGTTATTACTTAATTTGTTAAACTGTGCATTCTGTCTGCTCCACTAGAATATAAGTGGCATGAGAGAGGGCACTGTGGCTGCCTTATTCTTTGTTATACCTTCAGTCCTATGGCAGTGCCTAGAACATGTTAACTGAATGAATATGTGATTGGGTGTGAACACAGAGGTAAGTGGGTCTTGGAGAGATATTCCAAGCATACTGATGATACTAGCAACTGGGTCAATGACTGTATTTTTTACTCTGTAAGTGCCTATGGACACACATGGTATAAAAATACTGAACTTGTGAATTGGTGACTACTAATTGTAAGTGCTTTAAATTAAAACCAATGTATGAGTATTAAACCATATTCAATGGGAAGGGTAATATGATAGTATGTTTAATTAGTTCATATTATTCTTTTGTGTGTGCCCTATATTCTTCCATGGCAGAATTGCTGCTAAAGTGAGACCTTGTACATTTGTGTTTGTATTCATGGTAAACATGTGCCCATTCCAAGACTCGGAGAATATTAACATAATCAAATACAGTTAAGAAAGTTTCACTCTACAGAGACATAATATCAGAATAAGACCCCTAAAAAAACTTGGGCACCCTCCAGATTCATGAAATTACCAAGGCGTGGGTGTGACTTTCATAATTAAACTAACTAAATTACAACATCCAAGTTGTAATATATTCATTTTATGCAAATGCATCAGTAAAAAGCAAAATGCTACAGTACTGGAAAATCATGTTTTTCATGAAAAACAAGGATGACTCATTAGGCATGCATCCCACAAGGTCTGTTCTGTATTCAGAGAGCCAAGAAAATATAGATCACATCTCATTTCTGAAAAATTTATTTTATTAGAAACACTGGTTCTGGATGACTGACTTTGAAAGCTGAGATAATCAATCAGAATATGATGACATCTTTTGCTTAAGGTTAATTGTACTCTCAATTGCCTTTAAAATATCATGATTTTATGGTAATGAGGGAAAGCTAATGTTCGAAAATTCAGATCACTTACAGTGAAGTTTTTAACAAGAAGTATGATGCCAGTAAAGAATGAGATGTTCTTTTAAATTAAATAATTTACACGCATCATATTTTGTTTCCTTAAACACATAGTATGTTTGATTGGGAAGTGGAGGACAACTTTTAAGATCTCAAAATCCTTAATTTAAAAAAAAATTGACAACTTACAGATAGGTATATTCAATTATATTTTGACCTGTGAAGATTTTTTCCTTTAATTATCTAAACACACGCAAATGCCTGGCTACTCTAGACTATTTATTTATTTATTTATTTTTCTTTAAACATACTTGCCAATGGTCTCACCGTCTCCGTTAATTTCGAGAACCATCTGGAAATATATTTTTGCTTGTGTTCTTATAAGAATCACAAACCCACTGTCAGTAAGATAGATCAAAATATGAAGGATAGGAATCCTGGCACTGGGGAGTAAGGCTATTTGTTCTGCAGGGTCTCCTTAGGACATGATATGAAAGAGTTGAACTGAATTAATGGGATATGTGGGAAGTTAAGTAGCAGATACTATGTGGAAATCAAGGTAGGTGACTGGCATGGAGAAAGTCGAATGGAGGGTGGTTGTAGAAGGCCAGGGATGGAGGCAGGAACTTTTACCTTATTGGTCCGGATTCTAGTCCTCATTCAACAAATGTGCAGTATGCAAGCTGAAAGATACTGAATTCTTTTCATATATTCTATATTTGGGTAATTGCTATAAATTCAATTACATCTTATGCTGGTGACCCCAAATGTTCCACCCAGGCTAAATTTCCTCCCTGCTCCAAACCAGCCTATGCAACTGTTTGCTTGACATCTGCGCTTGGATGGCTCACATGTTTGTCAAATTACTATAATGGAACTCTTGACTTCTTTCCACTCTACCCTCCCCAACCTGTACCCATCTGTTCCTTCTACTACCACAAAAATGTTCTAAATTTTAGAACATCTCTATGTTCTAAATAGTTGCTCAGCCTGAAACTCATCTTGGATTCCTTACTCTTTCTGTCAATGCTTATATTCAGGCCTTCAGGACACTCTGGGAAGCTAATGGCTAAAATATATCTTGGATTTAACTTTTTCTCTCCATCTCTGTTATTTACCTCTTGGTTCAAGAATTTAACATTTGTCTTTGGGATATTTTAAAAAACCTCCTAAATCTGCCTCCCATACAAGTCTGTTCCTCATACAAAAGTGCTCTTCTCAAAATCCAAATTGGATAATGTCACTTTCATGCCTATAATACTGCAATGGTCTTCCATTGTTCTTGGAATAAAATCCAAATTTCTTACCGTGACTTCCAAGACTGTCTACCTCCCCACCCTATCCCATGCCCTGCTCTCTTCACTCCCCTTGTTCATATTCACTGGCATTTAATTACATAAGCACATCAAGTTTTATCTTGTTCAGAGCCTTTGCACATGCTCTTTCTTCTGCTTAGATGCCCCCTGCCACCCACATGCACACACCTTTTGCATAGACAGTTCTTTCTCTTTCTTCAAATCTCAATTTAAATTATTCCTTCTCAGAGAGACTTGCCTTGATTATACTACCTAAAGAAGTCGCTCCTTTGCTCTGCTCCTTTGCAATTCCTCATTTCCTCATCTCCTTTTTTTTTTTTTTTTTTTTTTTTTTTGACAGAGTCTTGCTCTGTCACCTGTCACCTAGCCTGGAGTGCAACTCAGTCTCCTGAATTCATGTGATCCTCCTGAACTCATGTGATCCTCCTGCCTCACTTTCCTGAGTAACTAGACTAAAAGTGTGTGCTATCATATCCAGCTAGTGTTTTTTTTTCTTTCACCTTTTGTAGAGACAGAGTCTTGCTATGTTGCCCAAACTGGTCTCAATCTCTTGGCCTCCAGCAATCTGCCTGCCTCAGCCTCCTAAAAGATTGGGATTGCAGGCATAAGCCACCAAGCCACCACTCCAGGCCTTTTTTTTTTTTAATCATACAAATTATTGTAATTCAAAATAATTCAATGTTGTTCTTTATTTTTCTTTCTTTTTTTTTTTGTTTATTCCTTGTAGAATGTAATCTTCAGCAGGCCAGAGATCTTTCTGGTCTTATTAGACATTCCATCGTCCCTACCTAGCAGAGGGTCTGGCAAATAATAGATGCTTCATAAGTATTTTATAAGTAAATGACTCTTGGGAATACAGAGTGGAATAAGTTATGGCCCCTGTCTTCAAGCTTCCACTGCTGGGTGAGAGAGGAACCCTAGAAAAGGGACTATCCACAATTGCTATTGCTGAATAGGGGCCTACACAAAGTTCTATGGATGACAAAGGAACCTAAAGTGTGTAGAAGGAGGGAGTGCATGGAAAAATATGGAGAAATTAGGAATGCTTCACCCATGAGCTGATATTTTAATAGGAAAGAAAGTTCTCTTTGACTGAGATTCAGTCTTTAAGAGGAATCAGGGATACCCTCCCCTTCCTGGCTCCTCACCCTTCCTTCGGTCCTGGGAATATATATGAGTAGGTGGTGAAATCTACAGGGATGGACTACAGGGATTAGTCCTTGTTGTTCTAAACTCTCTTCCATAATTATTATCTAATACTCCTTGCCTTTAGAAATTTCCTAATGAGGGCAGCTGTTATTTCTAATTTAATTAAATTATTCCCTTCTGAAAACGTCACATTTGGTTTTCCTTCCTGTCTCAGAAAGAACATTCTTTCAAATGTTTTTCAGGTCCACTAATTGTGGACTCATACATTTTCTTCTACTTGGAAAATCAGGTATAAAACTCAGTCTAGTCCCTTAAGATCCTTCCTTCCTTCCTTCTTTCCTTCCTTCCTTCCTTCCTCTCCCATTCTCTGTCTCTCACCTTTTCTCTCACTCTCTCTTCCTCAGTCTTTCTGCTAATATATTTTACAAACATTAACATTTGTTGTAAGAACTTGTATAGAATCTTTCTCACCACTCCAACTGCCTGTCCATTTCCCCAAAATGGTCTGAATATATATTAAAGATCTTTTTCCCACTTAAACATATCAGTATCCTTTTTAAACATTTTAAGTTGTTTTTGGCATTAAATTCAAGTACCTGATTATATAATTAAAAGTTTTCTGGTTGGGTGCAGTGGCTCACGCCTGTAATCCCAACACTTTGGGAGGCCGAAGTGGGCAGATTGCCTGAGGTCAGGAGTTCGAGACCAGCCTGGCCAACATGGTGAAACCCCATCTCTACTAAAAATACAAAAATTAGCCAGGTGTGGTGGCACATGCCTGTAATCCCAGCTACTCGGGAGGCTGAGGCAGGAGAATCGCTTGAACCCGGGAGGTGGAGGTGGTAGTGAGCCGAGATCACGCCACTGCACTCCAGCCTGGGTGACAGAGTAACACTGTATCTTAAAAAAAAAAAAAAAAAGAAAAGAAAAGTTATCTGCGAGTCTTATTCATTCCTCTCAGTGTCTGCTACTGTACTTCTCATTTTCTCCTTTTAGGCCAGGCCAGTTTAGTGAAACTTGAGTACCAGGATGAGAAGAGAATATAAAGAGAAGCAGATGGTATTGTTAACATTATCTTCTGGTTGCCAACATGAGATATTTTCTGTGGTTAATTACGCTGGAGGGATCAAGCTAGTTTTAGAACTTCCAGGTCATAGATTTCAGCTAATCACAAATCCAAGGGACTTTTTTAGACCAAAAGGTCATTAGATGTTTATCTAGGTTATTGGCCTTTGATAAATCATTTGAAATCCAGAAAATAGCCAAATCAATCTTCAGTTCTTAGGTTCTCAAGACCTGAGATAGCATAATATTTGTGTAGCAGAATTTAGAGCTCATAATCTCAGGTATGCAAAAAATCTCATATTATTTACTTAAAAAGCTTAGCTCTAAATCTCTATTCAACTAAAGGGAAAAATCAAATGCAGCTGGTGTGCCTCTACCCTCTTATGTTGTGCCAATGTTTCAGTGTTTTAAGAGATGCCAAACCACTGAGTGAACCTCTTTTGTCATTGCTTATCCTGGAACCCACAGAACTTAGTCCCTTCTCAACCTAAGGACTTTCACTTTGTTCTACCATGAGGCTGTCCTTCCTCTGACCTTCTCCGCCGGGGCATCTGGCCTACTCTCTTTAATGGCCCTGATGCATTTTCAAAAAACAAGCCAAGCTATTGACTACAGGCCTTTGTTGCCTTCTCCTGTGCCAAATTCCAGAAAGCAAGATTACAAAGTTTTCCTTTTGGCTTGAAATAAGAGGTGGAGGAAGAACTCAGAGACACAGCAATAAACATCTTACCACATTAGTCTTGATAAGACTAGAATAGACCTGCTCATGGGAATATGACTTGCCCTTTCTTGAAATTGTGGTGACGTGAATGGTGCTTGCTTTGACATTCATCCATTTATTCTTTCTGAAAACATTTGTTAAGTGTCTACTATGTGCTAGGGAAAATCTGCACACTTGAGACTTGGGATATGTAAGTGAACCAAACGGAGTAAGATGTTTC
Organism: Homo sapiens; assembly: GCF_000001405.40. Classification (NCBI taxonomy): domain Eukaryota; kingdom Metazoa; phylum Chordata; class Mammalia; order Primates; family Hominidae; genus Homo; species Homo sapiens. Next base: position 113,372,045 of record NC_000007.14, read on the forward strand.
CCCTTATAATGTTAGCATTCCAGTAGGGGAAGAGACAATAGACAGCATGGTGTGATGTGATCCAATATGATCAACGCGATGGGGAAAAGAAAGAGCAGAGTATGGTAGGGAGAATGGGGTGATGGTCCTCCTTTTCACTATTTAAAGCATTGCTTCCCACTTTGCCCCTTAACTCTGAAATAACCTCTCTCCTTCGCAAGACAGACTCCAGGGAGCCTTGGGCATGTTTTAGGCCCTCTAAAGCCTATGGGGAGAGTTTGGGGCCTGTGTGAAAGGATGTAGTCTCTGCGGAATTAGAAATTGCTAGGTTAAGGGAAATCTGAGTTGAATTGTTTCTCAATGTTTATCAGAGAAGAAAAATTAAAGTAGGAACCTGAGTAACCAAAGAGAGATCCCACAAGAAAGATTAATTATTACACCTCGTGCTTAGTCCTCATAGTTCAAGAAATGGAAGTCATGATCTTTTACACATCGAGTTCATATTTTTCTGCCCAATTATTCTTCAATAGATTTTTTAATAAGGGATTTGCTTTAGACCCTGGAGATCTTAGGTGACTTTGCCAACAATGGTCTCTGCAGAAAATGTGAGAAAAGAGGATAGTGATATTGAGAGAATGACAAAGAGATCTGTGTTCTGTCTTTTAGTGTGGGTTAAATGACCAAAACAATCGTCTGGGAAACAGAAAGCCAGATTGTTACCAAGTAGCCAAATTAGTGACACTCTGTGGGCTGGGGATTAATCACAGTGGCCAGGTGGCAAACTAAATATTAAGAATAGATAGGAGGGCTCATTTATGTAGTGGGAGTTCAGCTCCTTCTACCATTGATCCTTAAAATAGCATATCATATCTGGTACAAGTCCGCATCAGGCAATTAGGTATTAAGTCCAAGATTACAATTCTTCTCACCATATAAAGCATAATTTAGACATCTCTTTTCAAAAAGGCAAAGGTTTTTATGAACCCACATTTAAATGTCATATTACTTCAGCACTTTCCTTATGTGATGGCATATTTATTAATGGCATTTTTACCTTTCTTGCTTCTATATTTAATTATATGTTTATTAAATTAAAAGAGTTTGTCTTCTGCTTATTATATCTCCGTTACACTGAAGGTTTCATAGGATATAATTATCGATGATGCTGACTTTTTTATACCTATTTATCTTAATGTGTTGATGGATCAATACCTGACTGTGTAAGATAGGGTAATGATTTTTGCTGTAACACTTAACTGTAAATTTAGCATTTTAATGTGATAAAAGCTTATTCCCGACAAGCTTAACAATTCTACATTGGTGGTCCTGGAGGTAGGAAGTTTCCTCCATGTAGTAAATCAGGGACCTAGGTTCCTTCCATTTTGTGGCTTTGACATCACTTGGGGACCCTTAGTTCAAGAGACAGAGATGATGGATAATTTTTTTTTTTAATCCCAGCATGGAAGTGACTTCCACTGGGGAGAACTAATTACATGGTTCTTGGATATAAGGGCAGTCTGGAAAATGTAGTGTTTTGGTGAGCCAATAGCTTACAGTACTGAATTTTCCATATGGAAGAGAGTATAAAGTTTTGTTGGACACTAGCCATCTGTGCCACATTAACCAACAGTGTAACAGAAATACGCACTTCGTTACTTCAATGTAATTTCTGCATAACAATCTATACATATTAAGCTTCCTTTATTTAATGTCAACAATACATTTATACATTTTCCTACCAGTCTCCTAATAACTTTATATTATTTCTTATTTACCTCTTATATCATTTTAGAGGACGGATGACTACTTTACCCTGTTTCTGTTATAAGGCATAGCAAGGAATGGTAGTTAGATTGGTTGTTTCTGCTTTGGCAGAGATTAGAAATGAAGTGCTCACTGTTGATGAATTATATATTGGGCACATCAGGCCCATTTTGTTTTCTTCTGGGTCAAACAGGCCGAGTGCCTAAGACCATACACTGCTGGGATATTCTCTTCCCCAAGAACATTCTTGGTGTGTTTCTTTGTGTTGCCTATCAGTTATGTGAGCACTTACTCTAAGAATGTGAATCTGTGCCCAAGGGAATATTATGTCTTTCAGCGGTTGACTAGAGAGTTATTGAATTATGTAAAATATCACAAGTTCATTTTGATGAAATGTATATTGTCATTGATTTATTTTCCTGAGTTATGTTTTTATTAGATCAAAATCACATGAGAGTTTAAGAGAAAAATATAAGACAAAACACAAAACAAATGACATTTGCAGTATCATTATTTTCAGATGTGATGTAGATAAAGGAAAAGAATATTTTACCAATGACAATATCATATTTTTATCTGGTCTCGGACTTCCCACATAATCTTATTAAGAGAAAACAAGGACTAATGCAATGTCTCCTTCCCAGTCTCAGAGAAGAGAACAAGACTGCCCCATTTTTCTTCCTTTAAATATCAGTACAAGAGAACAGCCATACATCAGTACGTTCTCTCAAAGTTGCTAGTCATTTGGTAAATTCCTAAAATATTTTATTCCCAATTTTTTGGATGCATACATATTATCAAATCACTTTGAAAGCTGCAGAGTGTAATGCAAAAAGTGAGCAGTCACTTTCATCCTCCGTCAAAAGGAAAAAAAAGATACAAGCTCATCTTAAGTTGATATTCATCGAGAGATTTGTATATCCTAAAAACCATTACTACTTCATAGTCCCCAAACATGGCGAGATGTATGGTATTTATGGTTAAGATCAAATATTATCTTTGTAATGGGATTTTAAATTTAACTGAATGAATATCACAGATGATAATGTGGTACCTCCACTTTTTCTGAATTGGTCATCTAATCCTGGATGGTAAGCAAACAGAAACGTGTACTCTGAGGGTTTGCATCTTTGTGTCCTGACATCAACACTTAAAGAGTCTTGGCTTTATCTCTTCCATTGCTATTACAATGAGTTTGACGGGCTTGGATCTAGTGGGGTGGCTACTGTCAGGGGAGCAGTTCGGCTGTGTAAAATTACATAAAATAAAACCCATTTTGGCAATGGCAAGAAATGGAATTGCTCAACAGTAAGCTTGCCTGAGCCTGAACAGATGGAAGAAAAGTAGAGCAGACTGCTCCACAGATGATGATCAGCAACAATCAGACCCAAAGATGAGTGGCTTGATCCAAGGAGAATTAAAGAAGCCATTTGCATCAGATGTTGGAACAGTTAAGGCATGCTTGCAGTCAGTGAATGTCATTGGAAGCTGCTTTAAATAATGTGATGCAACATACATATATTATGTATTTGCAAAGCCAGATGGGATAAGGAATAAGAATTTTAGAGGGAAAAATCTGGCAAGAAACACTTTTATAGATGTCACTCTGAACTGATGCATTATGGAGAAGTGAGCTAATGGGCTTAGGAAAGAAAAAATTATCATAAATATTAAATAGAAATCTTAGATTTCATCAGGACTTTAAAGTTTATGTGAATCTTATTGCCTGCACTAAAGCAGAACACACTTCCCATCCCTGCCATCTCATGCTTATTAAAAAAGCTAATGTGTGTGTGTGTGTGTGTGTGACTATTTGTGTGTGTCTCTCTCTATCTTTAGGGGTAGATATAGATGATATAGATATAGATATATACCAGAACTGAAATTCTTGCATCCCACTCTTGATATTTTACTTAGTTATCATGAATTAACAAACTTATAAATAATCTCTCAGACTTACAAGTTCATTTTAAAATAAACATTTTATTTTGAAATAATTTTATCTTTATAGAAGAGTTGCAAAGATAGCACAGAGTATTTCTCTATACACTTCACCCAGCTTCCTCTAATGTTAACTTTCTACATAACCTTGATACACTTACAAAAGCTAAGAAATGAACATTGGCACAATACTGTTAACCAAACTATAGCCTTCATTAAGATTTCACAGTTCTTCCACTGTGTTCTTTTCCTACATAGCTAGGACACCACATTGCACTTAGTCATTATGTCTCCTTAGTCTCTTCAGATCCGTGACAATTTCCTGCTCTTCCCTTTCATGGCCTTGGTACTTTTGAAGAGTCCTGGTCAAGTATTTTGTAGAATGTCTCTCAGTTTGGGTTTTTCCTTATATTTTCTCATGAATGTTCTGAGGTTATAGTTTGAAGAAGAAAGCCACACAGGTGTTGTGCCCTTTTCTTCATACCATATCAGGGGACATATGCTGTCGGATGGCTTATTACTTGGTTAAGGAACTGTCTGCCAGGTTTCTCCACCATAAACTTACTATAACCTATCTTTTTGAAAATCTGTGTATCTTTTATTCAGGAGTTACACATAGGAGAAGTAATTATTGTTGAGCTACCTTAAATTATTAGTCACATTTGGTGAACAGGAAGAGATCAATTTTAATGGCATTGACAAAAGCATATAATGTGGAGAAAATAATTCTTTGTCTCCTGAACATACAAATAGAATATTCTGCCAGGCGCGGTGGCTCATGCCTGTAATCCCAGCACTTTGGGAGGCCGAGGCAGGCGGATCACGAGGTCAGGAGATCTAGACCATCCTGGCTAACACAGCAAAACCCCGTCTCTACTAAAAATACAAAAAATTAGCCGGGTGTGGTGGCGGGCACCTGTAGTCCCAGCTACTTGGGAGGCTGAGGCAGGAGAATGGCGTGAACCCGGGAGGCAGAGCTTGCAGTGAGCCGAGATCATGCCACTGCACTCCAGCCTGGGCAACAGAGCGAGACTCCGTCTCAAAAAAAAAAAAAAAAAATTGAATATTCAGATAATCCCCAGATTTACATTTTAAAATGTTACATAGAAATCATCTTTTTGACACATCTTTTGTCCTACCATTGCTTCTGTGTATAAAGAAATATTAGGAAATAGAAAATGGCTCTTTCTTTATGACTCTCTTAGCTTTTGTACTTTGGCATTTTTTTCTTTTAAAGAACATGGCCATTTAATCAGTTCATTTTGGCACAGGTAAACAGTTGTTCAAACATCTGATAACATTTGTCTTTTAATCTATCACTTACTTTGGTGTGTGTAGACATAGGCTCTATTATTGTATCTTGGGACACTAAAGAGAAAAGCAAGGATATTGTAAATGGATATTGTAAATATGCAGAGACCACACTGCACTGAACAGATTGCCAAGATGAAAACAGAAAAAAATGAAATAAAATAATAAACATTTTTATGATTCTAAGATTTCATTATTTTAAAACATTTTCAATGCACATTGACCATGAAGAAGAAACATAGACACCTTATAGCATCACAAAGGTAACCTCCCTCATAACTTCAATGGTTTAAACAGTTGCACAATGATGCTGAGGTTATATGAAACAGTTTGAAAACTGGTATGAGGCAACTTCATATTCCTATGATTTTTTTTTCAACTTTTAGGTTCAGGGGGCACATATGCAGGTTTGGTGTATGAATGATCCTGTCACCCAGGTAGTGAGCATAGTCCAAAATATAAGAAATTAGAAGTAAAACATTTAATAAATTTACACATTTAACAATACTTAAATACTGTTTAAACATTTAAAAATAGAATTTGTTACCTACCACCTAAGATTGCCAAGCCACCTTCTATAACCCTTGCCCCCTCCCACCTTCCCTGCCTTGGTAGTCCCCAGTGTCTAATGTTCCCATCTTTGTGTTGGTGTGTACTCAATGTGTAGCTCCCACTTACAAGTGAGAACATATGGTATTTGGTTTACAGTTCCTGCGTTAATTCACTTAGGAAATTAGCCTCCAGCTGCATCCATGTTGCTACAAAGGACACGATTTCATTCTTTTTTTTAATGGCTGTGTAGTATTCAAGGATGTGTATGTAGCATGTTTTCTTTATCCAGTTCACCACTGATGGGCATCTGGGTTGATTCTATGTCTTTACTATTATGAATAGTGCTGTGGTGAACATATGAGTGCATTTTTTGGTAGAACTATACATATATATATGTATATATAGGCCTATATATACATATATATATATATACACATATATATAGGCAGGGGTATATACTCAGTAATGCGACTTCTGGGTCAAATGGTAGTGTTCCTACCATTTTTTCTAAGCCTGTGGTGCTAAAGGTAATAAAGACTTGCTCTGTGGGCTCATTAATTCAAGATCTGGACATCTTTAAAGTCCCATGGGGAGGATCTCTGGGGACCTCAGAAGGGCACAAGACTTTCCTAGAGAAGGAGCAGAATAAGCAGTGGGCCAGCTGGAGCTGAGAACAGGACCTATACCTGTATTCCAGTCTAATACACTGTACATTTTGGAAGGAGATTACATGTGAGAATAATAATAAAAAAAGAGCTGTTTTACTAAAATCACAGCAAGACAGAGAAAACATAGGCAATAAACCTGACTTGCTGATCATGTCACAAAGGCTTACTAAAGATGGGAAAATGAGTACAGCTCAGGACAGCCTGAACAGAAAGCCTTGCTTATCTCCATTTAGAATCAAAAGAAGATGGAGCAGAGCAAGGAGTCCAGGCACAAGTCATGGTACCTTTGGTTGTAGCATCAGGATCCTCAGTGGCAGACATTGCTCCAGGGACCCAGACCTGAGCAGGAGAGGATGAAAGTGGTCCCTGTTCAGGTGGTTGCTGAGAAAAAGGTGAGATATGATTTTAGGAATTATTTAGGGGGCATTTGAGATACATAGAGTTTTTGTCAAGCAAATAGGAGCAGAACTAGAGATATTATATTTTTGCCAATGTTACTGTGATCCCATTTTGTTGGCCATGGCCTGGGAAAACATAGGATATAAGACATTAAATTTACGTGCAATTTTGAATACTTTATTAAATGTGTGAACAATGCCAATTCTATTTTGTCTGTTTGGAGTTAGAAACTGAAGTTCAATTCACAAAGACACATGAAACAATAACTAAAATCTGGGCTCTATACATTTACGGAAATACATTTACAGAAATATTCTTGAAAGGATCTGGGATTTTAGAAATTATAGATATACATTTATATGACCCAGATTTCCTTCGCTCCTACAAATTGGAATAAAATTTGAAAATTGGTTTTAGTGGTTATGCAAAAAAAGGAGGAAGGAAGAAAGAGGACAAATGGAAGGAAGGAAGGTAGTCAGTTGTTTGACTCAATTAGTTTGGACCACCTAAAATATTTTTATAGCAGACTTGACACTGAAGTCAAAGGATTCAAAACCCTTTGTTAGTTCAAATGTCCCTAAAGGGTATTACTTATTACCCCTGCTGTAAATGGCTCAGTATGAATATATATAGGAGGGAGAAGTAATCAGGGAAACATGTACAGAGACTACTATGAAAAAAAGGAAATTCCAAAACTTCAAACCATCTACTAGTTCTTTTGCATTATTTGGAGCAGAAGACACTTAGCAGGACTGGTAGACATCTAGTGTCAGATGTTGGATTGAGTCAGAATGGTAAGCTAAATGCTGTACATAATAAACAGGGGCATCTGAGAAAGGAGAGAGCTTTCTAAAAGAGAGGAGGCTGAGCAGTGTCTAAGTGTCTATACTAAAATGTAAACATTCTAAATTGAATAAAAGCCTCTGGTGCTGCAAACCTTTAGTGCAGCAGGTTGGGACAAATCAGAGAAAGGGCCTCAGTTCCACATCTGGACCTTCACAGAGCAGAAGGAATGGCTACAAGACATAAGTCTTGGAAGCAACAGGAAACAAGAAATTCAGAGCTGGAAGCGGCCACAAAGATTTAGGCCCCAGAAATTCTCAGAGATATAAGGAAAATATTCAATTTCAGTTTTAATTTTATGTAAACCTTGAAGGAGAGGGTGGCCTTAGCTACCACTTTGGTCTTTCCAACAGCATATTGCTGGCAATAGTGGAATCAGGTAGGCGGCCAACAGCCCGGTGAGAGGACAGCTATTGGGCCCTGCTGCTAGTTATTAAACTGCATACAGATGGTAACAAGAATTTAGCCAGGGATCACAGCTTGAATCATTTTCTGATTGTATGTCACTCAGAATAGTCTCCTAAAAGTATTTCAGTCCTGGAGAAGAGAAGGAGCAGGAACAGCATGCATTCCTTGACTGCTGAGGGGAATCTAGGGTGACTGATCTCACATGACGTTTATATTTCCTTGTAAAGAGCAATGAGATACCTTGGTTATGAAGATCAATGAGATCAGCCACCATGTATCATTTGTATCTCAAGTTACATATTTTTTTACAACAAGCCACATGGACTTGTTAAAACTAGGATTTAAACACAACTGTAGGGAAATCGTTATCTTAAGGTGAATTGCTTAAGAGGGAAATTGCATTTGGACATGGGGGGCTCGGTGCAGTGGTTTATGAGTATAGAGCTCTGTCCTGAACAAATGAAGCATTTAGCTGCCACCTGTATTATGTATTGATGTTACTAATCCTAGCAAAGTTAAGAATAAAAATTGAGCATTTATACACACCAATCTGGAGAAAAGAGGAATTTAAATTACCTTTCAGACTGTGAGTTTAATTGAAATGCTCCCATTTATTTCAGTCTAATGATAGTGGGTTTGCTGGATCACATCACCATTCTTTGAAATCTGCTTTATTCTTTCACATAGCACAGGACCTGCAGTCTTCATCTCTGGAGAGCATTCCCAACAACAAGTAATGCTTACCTGCAAATTGGAATGCACCAGAGTCCTATTTAAAGGCCAGCCTCACTGACTGACTGGCAGAATGAACGGGGAGAATGTATGCTTTATGCTCATACAGCTTCTTGAAAAAATGGACTGTGTAGAGTCAAGTTATTATTATAGTTATTTTCATTTATTTGTCAAGTGCCAAGGAATGCACTTGACAAAGCAAAAAGAGGAAGCTCAAGACAATATGTGTGTCCCCTAGATAATGTTGTTCCAGGAAAATAAAGTTTATTCATCCTCAAGGCAGATGTATGCATTTTTTAATCAACTGAGTATTCCATGAAGTTCTTTCCATAATTTTTAGCACATAAAACTTTTCTCGATTGAAATCATTGATTGTCCTTATCAACCCAATATAAAATAAAGTAAATGTTTGTTCTTCAGAGAGGATTCCTCCTGTAAAAACTTCCAGAATCACAAAAATGATATTGTCTATTCACTCCTGTCATTTTTGAAAGTAATATTTCCTTCAAGATACACATGCCTCCTACACAAATTGTCTTTGCAAATGTTACTAAGTCTTTCTCTCTCACTTGATGAGAGAAAGAGAGAACATCTGTCTTTCTCCAGATGCCCTTTCTAGAACATGCCCTGAAACAGTCATACTAATTCTATCTGAATTTATTTAAATAAACACTGATACGGCACCATGTCCCTGACACTTCTATAGGTTAGTGCAAAAGTAATTGCAGTTTTTGCCTTGTTGGAATTTGCCATTTGATATTGGAATACATTATTAAATAAATGTGGTTTTGTTATACATCATTTTAATGGGCATTTCTTGCTTTATTTTTTTTTTTGCTAATGACTAATTACTTGCTGTTTATTTTATGTTTATTTTAGACTACGGAAATGATGTTAGACACAAAGCAAATTCGAGTAATTTTCTTTTTCTTTCTTTCTTTTCTTTTCTTTTTTTTTTTTTTTTTTTTTTTTGAGACAGAGTCTCACTCTGTTGCCCAGGCTGGAGTGCAGTGGCATGATCTCAGCTCCCTGCAACCCCCACCTCCTGGGTTCAAGCAATTCTCCTGCCTCAGCCTCCTGAGTAGCTGAGATTACAGGCGCCCACCACCACACCTGGTTACTTTTTTGGTATTTTTAGTAAAGACAGGGCTTCACCATGTTGGGTAGGCTGGTCTCAAACTCCTGACCTCAGGTGATCCACCTGCCTCAGCCTCCCAAAGGGCTGGGATTACAGGCATGAGCCACTGCACTCAGCCATTTGAGTGATTTTCTTATTCGAGTTGAAAATGAGTCCTAAAGCAGCAGAGACAACTCACAACATCAACAACACATGTGGTCCAGAAACTGCTAATGAATGTACAGTGCAGTGGTGGTTCAATTGTCAAAGCCGATGTTCTTACAACTACATGAGAAGCTGCTGAAGGACTCAACGTCTACCATTTTATGGTCATTTGCAATTTGAAGCAAATTGTAAAGGTGAAAAAGCTCAATAAGTGGGTGCCTCATGAGTGACTGAAATTTTTTTAAAAATTGTTGTTTTGAAGTGTTGTTTTCTCTTATTCTATGCAACAACAATGAAATATTTCTCAATCAGATTGTGATGTGGGATGAAAAGTGGATTTTGTAAGACAACCAGCCATGATCAGCTCCATGGTTGGACCCAGAAGAAGCTCCAAAGCACTTACCAAAGCCAAACTTGCACGCGCGCGCGTGTGCACACACACACACAGCCTTGCACTGTTTGGTGGTCTGCTGCCGGTCTGATTCACTACACCACTACAGCTTTCTGAATCCCAGAGTAACTATTACATCCGAGGAGTATGCTCAGAAAACCGATGAGATGCACCAAAAATTGCAATGCCTGCAGCTGGCATTGGTCAACAGAAAGGGCTCAATTCTTCTTCAGGACAATGCCCAACCACACATGGCACAACGAACACTTCAAAAGTTGAATGAATTGGGCTATGAAGTTTTGCCTCATCCGCCATATTTACCTGACCTCTGGCCAACCGACTACCACTTCTTCACTTCAAGCATCTCGACAACTTTTTGCAGGGAAAACACTTCCATAACCAGCAGAATGCAGAAAATGCTTTCCAAGAGTCCGTTGAATCCCGAAGCACAGATTTCTATGCTACAGGAATGAACAAATTTACTTCTCATTGGCAAAAATGTGTTGATTGTAATGGTTCCTATTTTGATTAATAAAGATGTTTGAGCCTAGTTATAATGAGTTAAAATTCATGGTCTGAAACCACAATTACTTTTGCACCAAACGTTATTGGTCCTTTATAAATATTTACTCATTTAAAGTCCAAATAAGTCCAATATTAACTCGTTTAAAGTCCAAATAAAGTAAATGAATATTTACTTATTTGTAAGTACTTATTTGTAAGTCCTTTATAAATGTTTACTGGTTTAAACTCTCATAAATAAGGCTTTGAGAGATACACTATCATTATCATCATTTTACTGATGAGAAACAAACTAAGGTACTCACTTCTGGGAATTTATCAGAAATCAGTTTGATTAGGATCAAGAAGTATGGCTCCAAAGTTCACATGCTTAACTGGTAGGCTCTAGTCTTCTTTGTGTATCACAAACTGAGTTTCTATTTATCCAAGATATGCAATTCTTTTTCTTTTTCTTTCTTTCTTTTTTTTTTTTTTTTTTTTTCAGACGGAGTCTTGCTCTGTCACCAGGCTGGATTTCAGTGGCTCGATCTCAGCTCACTGCCACGTCCGCCTCCCGGGTTCAAGCCATTCTCCTACTTCAGCCTCCCAAGTAGCTGGGATTACAGGCATGCGCCACCATGCCTGGCTAAGTTTTTCTTTTCTTTTTTTTTTTTTTTTTTTTGTATTTTAGTAGACATGGGGTTTCACCATGTTGGCCAAGATGGTCTCAATCTCCTGACCTCGTGATCCACCCGCCTCGGCCTCCCAAAGTGCTGGGATTACAGGCGTGAGAAAGATATGCAATTCTTTAATTTAAAAATTCTGCTTTTTCATAGAGCTATCTGTTTCTTTCGCTTTTTTGACTTTTTCTTTATGTCTATCACCAGCTCTAAAAGCTAACTTTTCGGTGTCAGGAAAGGTGGTGCAGTTTGTGTCACTGCATAAGCATTATTACACATGTGTAACAACAATCATTGCCAGGCAGTGCTTAGGTGCTCAAACAGACTGCAGGACTGTGTCTGACACCTCAGTGTTTCAACACATGCAATTCAAATAGTGCCTCATTAAAATTACAGATTACTGCATGCCAGGGACTCACATCACTCAACAATACTCAAAACTATGAATGTTAAATCCATAAATGTCACGATTTCATTACAGCAGGAGCTTAGAACTAGAAAGTGTTTCATTTTCTTAGATATTTTCTGGTGACCACCACTCCCATATACACACACATAGTTTTCTTTTGTGTCATTCCATTGTGGAAAAGTTTTCAAGAGGATTGTTTTATCTTTGAAAAACATTGCTCTGAAAACCTATGCCAGGTCAATGTGAGTTACATATTTTCAAGGAAGCTTACTCTTCTACTTTTGTCTATGTTTCTTTCAATCTGCTTCTCTCTTTTTCTCCCTCACATTGCTTTGTTTGTTTTGTTCATGCACAGTATTTATATTTAACTCAGCCCAAGTGTTCATATTATCTTAACTCAAGATGTAACATGGGGAATTTTTCCAATTAAATATTAATTATTTTCATAGCTAGAATTTTCAATTAAAAAATTCAGGAATCAAATTTAAAAAATATACAATGATTAAAGGACATTCATTTGCATTCATGATTTATACAAAGCAAAACTTAGAAAAATGTGTAGGGGAAGTGATCTCTGGTATGTGTGTGATCAATGATCAATTGCTGTTTTATTTCTTTACTACCTTTTCCATTTTCATTTTTTCCCTTCTCAGGGAGGTATTTTATACCAGGAAGTGTATGTTTTTAACAATGTTCTATAGAAAGTGTTGCCTTACTTTATACCTGTAATATTATTACATTGTTTAGGCTCTTGCTACACAGAACATTGCTTATCTAATGCTTTTGCCAACAGTTGAGGGGTTTCTTTTACTCTAATATTTTCCTTTTTTACTCTTTCTTTTTTTTTTTATACTTTAGGTTTTAGGGTACATGTGCACATTGTGCAGGTTAGTTACATGTGTATACATGTGCCATGCTGGTGCGCTGCACCCACTAAATCGTCATCTAGCATTAGGTATATCTCCCAATGCTATCCCTCCCCCCTCCCCCCACCCCACCACAGTCCCTAGAGTGTGATATTCCCCTTCCTGTGTCCATGTGATCTCATTGTTCAATTCCCACCTATGAGTGAGAATATGCGGTGTTTGGTTTTTTGTTCTTGCGATAGTTTACTGAGAATGATGATTTCCAATTTCATCCATGTCCCTACAAAGGACATGAACTCATCAATTTTTATGGCTGCATAGTATTCCACGGTGTATATGTGCCACATTTTCTTAATCCAGTCTATCATTGTTGGACATTTGGGTTGGTTCCAAGTCTTTGCTATTGTGAATAATGCCGCAATAAACATACGTGTGCATGTGTCTTTATAACAGCATGATTTATAGTCCTTTGGGTATATACCCAGTAATGGGATGGCTGGGTCAAATGGTATTTCTAGTTCTAGATCCCTGAGGAATCGCCACACTGACTTCCACAATGGTTGAACTAGTTTACAGTCCCACCAACAGTGTAAAAGTGTTCCTATTTCTCCACATCCTCTCCAGCACCTGTTGTTTCCTGACTTTTTAATGATTGCCATTCTAACTGGTGTGAGATGGTATCTCATTGTGGTTCTGATTTGCATTTCTCTGATGGCCAGTGATGACGAGCATTTTTTCATGTGTTTTTTGGCTGCATAAATGTCTTCTTTTGAGAAGTGTCTCTTCATGTCCTTCACCCACTTTTTGATGGGGTTGTTTTTTCTTGTAAATTTGTTTGAGTTCATTGTAGATTCTGGATATTAGCCCTTTGTCAGATGAGTAGGTTGCGAAAATTTTCTCCCATTTTGTAGGTTGCCTGTTCACTCTGATGGTAGTTTGTTTTGCTGTGCAGAAGCTCTTAGTTTAATTAGATCCCATTGGTCAATTTTGTCTTTTGTTGCCATTGCTTTTGGTGTTTTGGACATGAAGTCCTTGCCCATGCCTATGTCCTGAATGGTAATGCCTAGGTTTTCTTCTAGGGTTTTTATGGTTTTAGGTCTAACGTTTAAGTCTTTAATCCATCTTGAATTGATTTTTGTATAAGGTGTAAGGAAGGGATCCAGTTTCCGCTTTCTACATATGGCTAGCCAGTTTTCCCAGCACCATTTATTAAATAGGGAATCCTTTCCCCATTGCTTGTTTTTCTCAGGTTTGTCAAAGATCAGATAGTTGTAGATAAGCGGCGTTATTTCTGAGGGCTCTGTTACTGTTTCTAAGGCAAAAACATGAGAGTTATAACAGCAAGTTAGTAATTCCCTAGCACATGAATCAGCCTGGACCTATTAAAAATGCAGGTTGCTGGGCTCCAGCCTTGGAAAATTTGATGCAGAAGGCTTAGGCTGGGACCCAGAAACCTGCCCCTTAATAGCTACTCCAGCTGACTCTGATGCTGTTGCTCCATGGAACACACTTTGCAATACAGTGTTTCACAGTATTCAGTACTGAGTTAGCATCACGATATCGTCTTCTAAAGGAATTCCAGTGCATGATATGCCAGTTGAGAATTAAATTAAGTGCTATGGGAGTAAGAAAAGAACAAATTGGTTTACTTTGAAGTTATATTTTGTCAATGATCAAGAAATGATTGCATCTATAGACTGTTTACCATCTCCTGATTTCTTAACGTAAGAGAACAGGGTAGAGTAGTTAGAGAAAAGCATGTAGCAATTTATTTTGAGTATTAATATTCTCCCCTCCAAATATTCTATGTATTTCTTGTATTTTGAGAATTCAATATAATTTTATTTAAATAATGGGAAAGTTATATTTTAGTTATAAAGTATTTCTTGAGAACACAGCATAACTCATCTGCAATTTATACTGCCTAAAATAAAGACATTTTGCGGGCCTTTTGTATCCCTACCTACCCAAATTACAGAAGAGCACCTCTAGGAGCAACTCCAGAGATCTGAAAACATATGATACAAATCTCTAAATTAAAGTTTAATAGGAATTTAATTCAAGCTGCCAATAGCAGTCATAATCTACAATGGCTAATGTGACATCAGTGTCCCACGTAAATGAATGGCTTGTGTAAAGGAAGGATTTGAGAAGGAAAAATATATTTTATCTGTGACCTGTTCGGTGATTCAATCAGGAGTCTTTAGCACTGAATTAGCTTTTCTGCCTCAGTTCCCCTATTTCCTTAGCACTTAATTATTTTCCTACAGTCTTCACTAAATTAGGGTTCCAAAAAAACTGTTTTAAAAACACACAATGCATAAATGCAATTTTGATTTAATCAAATTCAGTCATAAAATATTTATGACAATTTCATCATTTATTAATTGCTTTAAGAAAATCTTTGCCCCTCGTCTAGAAACTTTTGTGTAATAAAAATACACTATAACTTTAAAAAATTTTAGGAATGACAACTAGAATTAGCAAAACCAAAGCTAAAACCAAACATTTGTTAGGACTGTAAGTTCAGACCCTTCTAATTGGTAGGTATTTCTGGAACTAATTATCGGGTACTTTGTTGATTGCTGTCCTGCATGCCAGATTTCTGTTCAGATGAGTTGGTTAGAGCATCTTATTGTAGAAGGTCAAAACACTTGGTCACCTCTAGGTCTTATGTAATTGCTGATCTTACATAATTAATTGAATAGTTTTAAAAAATCTTATTCTGCAGGCATAATGAAGCTAGGGATTTGGGGGTGGATCAAAGCAAATCCATCATTGTTTCTGGAAAAGGAAATCAAAATATAAGTCCTGCAAGTGGTAGGTGAGTAACATCACCTTTCCAGATGAGGCCGATATAGCACCAAGAACCCTCCCACATGGTTCTTGGGTATGATTCATCACTAACTTGCTCTGTCACCTTGGACAAATCACTCAACTCCCCTACATGAAGGCCAAGAGAAACTTGAGGTTACCATGCGAAAGTACTTTCAAAAATTCTATTAAAAATGCCCCCATTGCCTTAGGAAGAGGGTGCCATTTTATTATGACCTACATATGCAGAAAATTACTAGGAAGTTTGTACTAGGAAAAGACACGAATATCATGGGAAAAATAGCAAGGAAACTATTTAGCTTAGTAAAATCATAACTGTAGAAATTCTGTAAAATTTTCTTCTAAAGTTTATTAGATTCCACAGTCATAAAAATCTTTAATCTAAAAAAAAGAAATAATACACATTTACATAATGTGTACTGTATGCCTGACACTCTTCTAAGTATTTAACCAAAGCTAGGTCTCATCTCTTGAGAAGGTTAATTAGTTTTTGGTTTTGTTTAGTACCTAGCACTGGGGAGATGACCTCCTAGAACTGCGATTTCAGGTTTAACAAGACTAACCTAAAAAAATTTAGCTCCTGTTCATTCCTGTTGATGTTTTGTAATCCATGGCAGAATTTTAGTGTTCTATTTTAAGATTTTAATCTCTGGAAAATTCAAATCCTCTCGAGATTTAGCATGCATGAATGTTTGATGCTTTCTGAGAGTTTTCCACAGTAGGTAGAAAGCAAGAAGTATTTCCATGAGTGTCTAATATAGAAGAAGGGGCCAGTGAGCAGAAAGGGATTCACTAAGAATATCAAACTGAAGAAAAAGAATACAGAGTACTGATTACAGGAAATGAAAAAGGTATCTAAGGTGAGGTATGTAGGAATAAAAAAACTGAGGCTCAAAAACCAATTTCCTACTTTATAATGTTTCCTAGGACCCCTGCCTTCATGCTATAAACAGAATAACCTACTAAGTATGACTCTTTAACTTACATATGTTTATCAGTTTTGTCCCATTTCAAGTTTTCCCTGATAACAAAGGAAGAGAAAAGTTATAGGGATGGGGGTGACAAGAGGTAAATTAAAACTGTTAATTAGCCAAAAGAAGAGACTATTATCCTGTAAAGAGCATAACATTAAATATAATATTAATTCAGATAACATATTTATTAAGTGCATATATACAAATGGGAAAGACAAGTAATAAGTAAATGCAAAATTAAATAGATTGCATACAAAGGAGGTAGAGATGATTGCTAGAGAGGAAATTAAAGAAGAATAAAGCTGAAGTATATTGTTGGTGGTGGAGTTATTTTAAATGGAGTGACCAGAGAGGGTTCTGTAATCAATTTGTATCGAAGCAGAGACCTAAATGAAGTGGCAGAGGTTGATGTGCAGATGTGTGAGTGAATAGATTGCCAGGCAGTGAGAACTGTAAGTGCAAAGGCTGTGAGGCAAGTGCATGCTTGGTGTATTCAAAGAATGAAAATACAGTCAGTGCAAATGGAGTGATGTATTAGAGGACAAGAGCTGGAGGAAATGAGATTCATGAGGCAATGGGCTCCCAATCACTCATGCCTTGAGGACACTGTAATGACTTTGAGCTTTACTTTGAAAGTATTGAGAAGCCATTGGAGAGTAAAGTATATTAGTCTGGCTGCTTTGCTCGGACTAGACTTAAAACCAGCCCAAATATCCCATGGAACAGATGCTCATGGTTTATTTTGAATTAACATAGAAATTGACCCTCCCAGTTTTACAGCTTGAGAAAGTTAACATTTGTCTTATCTGAGCTCCTTTCTCAGGAAACCAATTATCAGGCCTCCCAGATAGTATCAAGAAACTGAAATTTACCAGATCACTGCATCTGGACAATGACACTCCAGACCCTTCATTCATCATGATTACTTCCATACCCCTCCCTAATTCCCGTTTTCCCACACATGGTTACTTTTTTTTTTTTTTCCTGCTGTATAAACCCCTAATTTTAGTGAGTTGAAGAGATGGATTTGGGACTGATTTTCTATGTCCTTGCCTGCAGCACCTGAATAAAGCCTTCTTCCTTGGCAATACTTGTTGTCTCAGTGACTGGCTTTCTGTTTGATGAGCAACAGGGCCTTAGACCAAATCCCTGGTGTTTTGGTAACTGTATTAGTCCATTTTCACACTGCTGTAAAGAACTACCTGAGACTGGGTAATTCATGGAGAGAAAAAGGTTTAATTGACTTACAGTTCTGCAAGGCTAGGAGGCCTCAGGAAACTTCCAATCATGGCAGAAGGCAAAGGGGAAGCAAGGACCTTCTTCACATGGCAGCAGGAGAGAGAGAGAGAGAGAAAGAGAGACAAAGGGAAGTGCCACACTTTTAAACCATCAGATCTTGTGAGAACTCACTCACTATCACAAGAACAGCATGGAGAAAATTGCCCCATGATTCAATCACCTCCCACCTGGTTCCTCCCTCGACACATGGGGAGTACAATTACAGAAGAGATTTGGGTAGGGACACGGATTCAAACCATGTCAGTAACAGACTGTGGGAAGGCAGATGGATGAAGAGAAACTAGCTAGGAAGCAATGATGGTTTGGATCAAGGTGGAGCAATGTAAGTGGTGAGAACAGGTAAAAAAAAAAAAAAAAAAGTCAATAAATATATTTGGTTATGAATTTTTTCATTAAAACAAATACTAGTTAGCAGGTACATGGGTCAAGTAGAGTGTTCAATGCTGGGGAAATAACAAACAGGACAAAGTCCATGCCTGCCATCGGTAAATGCATAGCTTAATGGGGGCAGATGTATAAACATGGTTTTAATTTCTTGTATGCTAATTGAATTGAGTAAAAAGGAAAGAATGATTACTTTTGCTTAGGGAATGGGAAGCATCCACACAAACTACCCAGAAGAAAAGATGCTTGGGGTCAATAAAGAGGAGCACAAGTGTGGCAGAAGGTAAAGGAAGGCAAAGAGAGGGTTGCCAACAGCTTATACAAAGGAACACGGCCATGGACAAGGGGCAATTAGCAGTGTCGTATGTCTAGTGCATCTATTCCAGCCCAGAGTGTAGTGAACAAAGCTGGGAAAATATGGAGTGAGGGCAGGGAAGATGATGAGATAATCTGTGTATCACGATGAGGGTTTTGCACACTTTTGGCAAAATTATGGGAAACCATTGAAGGATTTTATAGAACAAAGTAGAATCAGCTTCACATCCTAGAAATATCAAAATTCTTTGTCAATAGGAGCATTTCTACTTAACTCTAGTTACATAGTTACATTGTGGCAACAGAGTACTATATAGTAAAAAATATTATACTGCTTACTTTTCAAACATGGCAAACAATCTTTTATTGACCAGTTACTGTGTCAGGCACTGGGTAGAGGGCATTGCTCACACGAATTCATCAGATCCTCACTAATGCCCAGTGAGGTTATTACTATTCTTATGACCCCTTTTTAAAGATAGAGAAACAAATGCTTAGAGTTTCAGCAATTTACCAAATTCACACATAGATAGTGATAGGAGGGGCAGGCTGGGCTGGGCTTCCAACCCAGCATCACAGGCCATGCTTTTCATCACTCTAGATAGTGCTTTGATGTTCTTGAAAGGGCAACAAAGGTGACTAGGAACAGGCTCTTCTAAAGACTGATTACATTAAATAAAATCTCTTCACAACAGGCTGACCTAAATTATAATTTCTTAATTTAATTATGTAGGTTGCAAAGAATGAAAGGAAATTAATAATGTTCCAGATGTTGGGAATGAATTCATTAAGTCTTTAGAATGAATTTACTTATAGATTTGTTGAGTGACACCATTTTCATTAGAGCTTCCTGGTATAAATTTTGACTTGTAAAGACAGATATTCAAATCCACTTCGGCTATGTCCACCCAAACCAGGAAAGTTTTCTTGAATGACGTTTTCTCACTCCTTTGCAAACTGTTTTCTCGATAATCTGCAGAATTTGGCTGCAGTTAGAGATGTCCAGTCACTGCTGCTCAATACAATGAAACTTTCCTGCCTAAAGAAATTCAAGGAATAAAGAATTAGGGCTGGAAAGAAGAAGAGAAAGTGATTATCAGAAGTTCAAATCCTGTTGGCAATAATTTGTTAGAGGTTGAGAAGTAATTACTGATACATTGGATTTGCTACTAGCAATCCTTTTAAATATATTCTATATTGGAAAAAATAATACAGACTCAAAATTTCTCAGAGAATTACCAAGTTATCTGGAGAATGTCCAGAAATGTGAAATCAAAGATCAAGTCCAAATGTCCAGGGTCAGTTTCTAAAAAGCAGATTAGTTGGATGCAAGGGACAATTTTATGTGAAAAGATAAAATTCCTAATCCACTGGCAAAAGTATCTATAAATAAACCACTCAAGCAAGTTTCTTTTGTACATTTAAAAAATAAACATAAGACAATTATCTGGCTTGCTTTGAAAAGTTTGTTGAAGGAAACTGTTGCAAACACTAAAGGAGATTAATCATGACTTGAGGTCATGATTAAACAGAGGTAAGGGTTTAATTCAGTTTAGATTTTTTAACATTAAGTAAGATAGATAAAAGGAACAAAAGTTGATTTCAAAACATTATTTAGACCTTAATATCAAGTTATCATGTACAGTACCATGTCTAAGATAAGACATATCTTTGATAATATAGTAAGTCTCGACAATGCACCAATCTCTTAATATTTACTATAATATTTTGTTGTCTCATCTTTTACATAGTATATACTGAAATTAAATTACTTTTAAAATCCTCATTCTCCTGTTTTACATTATTCTTGCACTAGTTTGCTCAGTCCTTTCAAGGTTTAATCTGGTTCAGCAAATGTGTCCGTGCATCAAAGTCTTCACTCCTCTGAAAAGGGCAAGTTTTTACCTGGCCCAATGCCCTGTGTTGTTCAGACATCAGACGTAGTTTGCTATGTCACTCCTCATTGCTCTGAGGTTAAAACTGATTTTGTGGAGGTGGCTGGCAAGGGTCTCTTGTAATTGTTCTCATCTTCGTTGTTATGGAGATGGAACTTATACAGTTTTCTCCCTGCTTAGTTTATCATGCTTCGTATCCAACAGCACAGTAAACAACCGATTAGGTGACCTACTTAGGTCTGCCAGCATGAATTCGCAGACTTCTGTTATTTAAGGTGTGTGATTACTTGAATCTTCCCCTGTGGTCCAGCTTTTTATTTCTACTATCTTTACATTTTCAGTGTGTTGTTTATAAGTGGATTCATTTGCTCTAAATACTTTGTTTATTGCCTTCTGTTCAGAAAGAAGTAAGAGACTGGGTCCTAGGCTGAAAATGTGAATTTTAGATCTATTATTATTGACATAATCCTAAAATCTATACTTCTTCAAGGACACAAAATTGTGCAGCATGCCAAAGCAGTGCCCTGATGTTGTCAGGAACACTCAACACCACTTCTCACAATTACGAGCAGCTGAAGAAACAAAGAGGCAAGAGGAAATAAATGTGGTTCAATTTGTCTTGCCTGGCTTACTATTACAATAAATGAGAGGGGAGAAAGCAAAAGAGGTTGAGTTAAGGTATAATGAGAAGGGGGAGAGGGTAAAGTATCCTTTGGAGAACATAGCATACTATGAAGAAGGTTTGTAGAAGTCTGGCAACATGAGTTTAAATTTTGACTCCATGGAAGATGCTGTTGGTGGCCTGCCCAGAATCCCATTACTGGATTGGTATACCAGCCCTCAATTTCAGAGTTGGCTGCAAATGGCTCACAGCTGTCCTGAAAGCTGCCTCATCCAGGAAGTTATGCTTATCCTCCTCCTCCAGGTGGCCTACATACAATGACCTATGCATGCAAAAGTCAAGCCCCTTTTCCTTGAATTGGGGTCAGTTCTGTAATAGGCATTATGCTTCATTGTCCTCTCTAACGAAATGGGGGAGATTAGTGACACTCATTGTTTCCTTGCAGCTCTAAAATTCTGTTTTAGGGTAGTCAAGACCATTGGATCATTTTTATCTGTAAGTTCTTTCTGCTTCAGATGTTCTGTGTGTTTTTCAATGTTGGGCATTTTTGGTATTTGATGCAGGCTGATCATGACTAAGTCGTCATTCAATTCCAGTTTTCTTCTTTAGCTATTTTTTCCTTTGCCTTTGAGTGTACATGCACTGGAATGGGGAGACAAATTACCTAAAGCAATGCGGCTATAAATTATTAATGATTCCTAACTTCAGGAATGTGTGCCAGCATATTGGCCTTGTTACTGGGAAGCAGGTAAGGGTTCTCATCTCAACTGTTCTTTAACTCTGGAAAAGAAGAAACAATTCACCTTATTTTCTTATCTTGCACAATTATTAAATAGTGCACAAAAATAACCTCCTTTGATTGGGAAATAGTTCAGCAAATCATCTGAATTAGCATCCATGCACAGGATTGTAAAATATTAGAAAAACATTAGAAGAATGTTCTTAAAAGCAGGACAGATAACCTCCTGGATGCGTTCTTGCTAAAGCAAGGTCTATGCTGTGTGATTAAAGTCACAGCCTGAGGCATAATGGTACAATTCACCTCACATCCTTATTAACCAAAACTGTCTCTAGTGAGTATTGTGAAGATGTGTAAATTGACATCATCTCCGATTTTTAGCAATTTCCAGTAAGAGTTTTGAAGTGAAATTGTGACTCTAAACTCCAAGCACAATCTCAGACAACACAGCAACCTTGTAGGCCAGTGAGAAATGTACAGAGATCTCTATCAGGTACAGGATAGTCAGGTATGTGACTTCCTGTTGAATAACAACGAGGCACAGTTGCATGCATCTTGGCCCTCCAAAAAGTACTTGGGATCTGGAATAAAGACAAGCAAGTAATGTTTGAGACTACTCACTTGAACAGAATAGCAATTTCTTCAAACCCTCAAGACAATATAACAGACATAGATAAATGTACAATTAAAAAAAAAATGGTCTGTACAAACATGCAAACCCCCTCTTTGGAATAGTAGATTAAAAACATCTAAATTGCTCTGAAGCTTCATAGGCATCTGAATTTTTAATGAATTGAAAAATATCATATTGACTCTTTACAAGTTGTAACATGCTTACATATTTATATGATCCTTGTTAAACATTACTGCTATAATTGGTTCTGGATTAAAAGCCCAATAAAATATAAATGAAATAAAGTCTTATAGAGGATGTTAGTGTTTCTCTATTTTCATCTCTCCCTCAACTCCAATTCACTTCTACTCGTCTCTGTGCCTGCAAATGTTGAGCCCTTTAGTGTAAATTACCGGGGCTCCTTGTCTTCTGGCTTCCAGGTGAATTGGGCCAATAGGAGGAACTCACAGGAAACAGGAGGGTCGGGGGAGAGAGAGGCTGGGCATTGCATCCCCTTCTTTCTTTCTGTATCTCCAGTCTGGTAGGGGCTGCCTAATCCACAACTACAGGTCCTGTTGAGCAACTGACTCCTGTTGCATGGCTGCAGCTCCTCAGACTCTTGTATAATAATATCATTTCCTCCTCTTGCCCTGCAGGTGGTGGTTTCATGCTGTGCTAGCCTAGCTGCTGGCTGCCCGCTCCTCTGTAGATACTCCCTTACTCAAATCCTCCTAACAATCCTAGTGGACTGGGTCTTGTTTCTTGCCAGGCCACTGACTAATATATGAATTCTCCTCCTATTCAGACTCTGTTAGGTTAAAATTAGGAAATCTCAGTCTTCCTCAAATGCCTGCTTATAGCAGAAAGGGTCAGGGTACAGAGTATAGAAGGAAAGAGGGCTGATTTCTTTATGTGGAAGTATTTCAAAAAAAGATTCCTACTGCACCGTCCACCACACCAAATCCCTTCGCTTGCACCTCTGCAGCATTCTCCCTTCTCATTATTTATCCAGTACACTGAGTACTCCCCTGCCTCAGGTCTTCATTCTTGCTGTTTCCTCTAAATATTTCTCGGAAATGTCTGGAGGAATAGTGTTTGTTTGCCTCCTCACTTCTGCAGCATTATGCCCAAGCTCACATTCTCGTAGAGGCTCTGATATGGTTTGGATTTGTGTCCCTGCCCAAATCTCAAGTCAAATTTTTATCACCAGTGTTGGAGGAGGTCCCTGGTGGGAGGTGATGGGGGTGGATTTACCCCTTGATATTGTCCTGATAGTGAGTTCTCATGAGATCTTGTTTAAAAGTGTGTAGTAGGCCAGGCACGGTGGCTCACGCCTGTAATCCCAGCACTGTGGGTGACTGAGGTGGGAGGATCACTTCAGCCTGGGAGGCAGAGGTTGCAGTGAGCTGAGGTGGCACCACTGCACGCCAGCCTGGGCAACAGAGTGAGGCCTTGTCTAAAAAACAAAAAATTAATAAAACTAAAAGTGTGTCGCACTTCCTTCTCTCCCTTCCTCTTGCTCTACCTTGTAGGAAAGATGTGTCTGTTTCTCTTTTGCCTTCCACCGTCATTGTAACTTTCCTGAGGTCTCCCCAGCCATGTTTCCTGTAGAGCCTATGGAACCATGAGCCAATTAAACCTCTTTTCTTTTTAAATTACTTAGTCTCAGGTAGTTCTTTATAGCAGTGTGAGAAGGGACTAATACAGGCCCTCTTTGTTTGCCTCAGATAAAATTTCCACTCCAGACCCTCTATCCCTTCACCCTGGTTAAGTTTAATCATGGGACTTATTTTCAACCAATGTTATTTATTTACATGTTTCAAGTATGCTTATCTTTACTAGAATATTTTTTTCATGATGGTATTTTCATCATCAATTTACTCTGCAGGGCTCAACATTCGCAGGCATAGAGACAAGTAGAAGTGAATTGGAATTGAGGGAGAGACGCAAATAGAGAAACACTAGCACCCTCTATCAGACTGTATTTCATTTATATTTTATTGGGCTTTTAATCCAGAAGCAATTATAGCAGTAATGGTTAACAAGAATCAATTTTCTTGCACACATTCGTAGCACAATATACATTTTTTGAATGAGTGAATAATGAGAAAGAAACACATGATAAGATGTTCCATTGAATGATAAAATTCAATGGAACATCTACACCCTCTTTTCTGTGGGGATAAGGGCTAATTTATCTACAAGGTTCGTTGAACTCCTTAAAGATTAGAGACTGAAAAAAGTGCCCCAATTGCAATTAAAGTTTTACCAATGTACCGTATGAAATCTACTTTAATCTGTAGGTGAAGTAAACTATAGGTTACTTTCTTCAAGAAAATTTAAAAATGTCATTTCATTATATTTCTGCTTCTACGTAAACATGAAGAACAACAACAACACAGTTTCTAGCTCTAGCTCAGGGCTAAATGTCCTGAGGATAATAGCATGAAGTGCAGAGGGAAGAATAGCCCAGAGTCCTGATTCAGACTTACCAAGTAGAATTTCTTCTTTCTTAACAATGCAGGGGGCAGCACTAGATAATTGGAGGACTTGGGGAAATTGAAGAAACTTGGGAGCAGAAACCACAACAAAATCACAGCATGGTAAAGCTGTAACACATTGTGGTTTCAGACAGATGAATTTGTACTTGATTTTAAACATTCCAGTTCAGAAGAGTCACAATCTTCAGTAGTTTCTATTTAAGGGCTGAAGATTCTTCCACCCCAAATATTTTCCTTAACACTTGCCTACATTCCCTATGACATATACTGTGCTTATTTCATCCTATGTTGAGGAGGTGTATGTAAATGTTGGTCACTATTCTTGGTAAAATAATCCTATCTAGTGAGATCATTTAATTACCTTATTTACCTCCATTTATCATTCAACCGAAATAGAACCTGCTGCATTTAGTAGGTGCTCAAGTAATCATTTGCTGAATTGAACTCAATGTCCTGACTTCACAGTTGTTTCTTTTATAATTATTTTACTTTTGCTATTTGGTTTAATGTCTCACTTTTTAACATACTTCCCCCCCTCCACCATTGTTGTAATATAATTGACAAATGAAAACTGGGTACAGTGGCACTTTCCTGCAGTCACAGCTACTCAAGAGGCTGAGGCAGGAAGATTCCTTGAACCTAGCAGCTGGAACCAAGCCTGGGCAACATAGTGAGAACTCATCCCAAAAATAATAAATAAAAACTAAAAAAAACCCAAGTGTATATAATCAAGGTACACAACATAATGTTTTGATATATGTATACATTGTGAAATGATTACCACAATCAAGCTAATTAATATACCCATTACTTCACATAGTTAATGTTTTTACTTTGTGTGTGTGGGGAAAAACATTTATGATCTATTCTCTTAGCAAATTTCAAGTCTACAACACAGTATTGTGTGACTAACTATATCCATCATGGTATACATTAGATCTCCAGAACTTATTCACTGTATATTGGTACTCCTTGACCAACATTTCCACATATTTCCCTCTCTTCATTCCCTGGAAGCCACCATTCTATTCCCTACTTCTAGGAATTCAACTTATTTAGATTCCACATAGAAGTGAGATCATGTAGTATTTGTCTTTCTGTGCCTGGCTTATATTACTTAGTATAATGTCCTCTCGGTTCATCAAGATTGCTGGAAATGACAGGATTTTATTCTTTTTTTTTATGGCTGAGTAGTATTTCATTTTACATATGTATCATATTTTCTTTATTTATTTTGGCTACTGTGAACAATGTTGCAGTACAAGTGGGAATACAGATACCTTTTGAGATACTGATTTCATTTCCTTTGAATAATGATATAGTTTGATTTTGTGACCCCGCCCAAATCTCATGTTAAATTGTAATCCCCAATGCTGGAGAAGGGGCCTAGTAGAAGGTGACTTGGATTATGGAGGCAAACTTCCCCCTTGCTGTTCTCATGATAGTGAGTTCTCACAAGATCTGGTTGTTTAAAAGTGTGTAGCACCTCCCCTTCTCTCTTCCTCCTGCTCCAGCCATGTAAGTTGTGCCTCCTTCCTCTTCTCCTTCTGCCATGATTGTATGTTTCCTGAGGCCTCCTTCAGTCATGCTTCCTGTACAGCCTGTGGAACTGTGAGTCAATTAAATCTCTTTTCTTTATAAATTACCTAGTCTCAGGTAACTGCTTTACAGCAATGCTAGAATGGACTAAAACATGTATATCTATATACCCAGAAGTGAAATTGCTGGATCATGTTGGTCTTCCTATTTTTAAATTTTTGAAGAACCTCCATACATTCTCCATAATGGCTATACAAATTTACATTTCTACAGACATTGTATAAAGATTCCCTTTTCTCCACATCCTCATCAATATTTGTTACCTTTTGTCTTTTTGAAGCCATTCTACCAGGTATGAGATGATATATCATTATGGTTTTAATTTGCATTTCCCTGATGATTAGTGATGTTGAGCATTTTTAATATACTTGTTGGCCATCTTCATATCGTCTTTTGAGAAATGTCTATGCAGGTCCCTTGGCCTCTTTTAAATTGGGTTATTAGTTTTCTTGCTATTGAGTTGTTTGAGTTTCTTACATATATCTTTATATTAACTTCTCATCTGATGTATGGTTTGCAAATATTTTACCCCATTCCATAGTTTGTTTTTCACTCTTTGGTTGTTTCCCGTGTTGTGCAGAAGGCTCAGTTTGATGCAATCTTATCAGTCTATGTTTTCCTTTTGTTACCTGTGATTTGAGGCCATACGGTGATATGGTTTGGATTTGTGCTCCCACCCAAATCTTATGGCAAATTGTAATCCCCATTGTTGGAAGAGGGGCCTGATGAGAGGTGATTGGATCATGGGGATGTATCTCCCTCATAGTGAGTGAGTTCTCACAAGATCTAGTTGACTAAAAGTGTGTAGCACCTCTCCCTTCACCTTATTCCTCCTTCTCCAGCCATGTAAGACATGGCTGCTTCCCCTTTGCCTGCTGCCATGATTGTAAGTTTCTTGACACTTCCCCAGCTATGCTTCCTGTAAACCCTGTGAAACTGTGAGTCAATTAAACCTGTTTCTTTATAAATTACCCAGTGTGAGGTAGTTCTTTATAGCAGTATGAGAACAGAATAATACATGAGTTCATATCCAAAAAATCATTGCTCAGATCAATTTCAAGAAGCTTTTTTCCTATGTTTTCTTCAGTAGTTTACAGTTTCAAGTCTTACATTTAAATATTTAATTCATTTTGAGTTGATTTTTGTATATGGTGTGAGATAATTCCATTCTTTTGCGTGTGGATATTTAGTTGTCCCAATACCTTTTATTGAATAGGCTGTTTTTTCCCCATTGTGTGTTCTTGCCATCTTTATTGAAGATCAGTCAACCATATATGAGTGAAATTTGTGTATATGTGCTTTATTTTGTGTTCCATTGGTTTATATATCTGTTTTTATGTTAGTATTCTGTTTTGATTATTATAGCTTTGTGTTACATTTTGAAATCAAGTAGTGTGGATGCCTCCAGGTTTGTTCTTTCTCCATATCTCCTTGGTTATTCAAGGTCTTTTGTGCTTCCTTCTGGTTTTAGGATTGTGTTTTATATTTCTGTGAAAAATGTCATTGGAATTGTGATAGGCATTGCATTGCTTTGGGTAGTATGAACATTTTAACACAATCAATTCTTCTAATCCATGAACATGGGACATCTTTTCATTTAGTTGTGTCTTCTTCAATTTCTATTATCAATGTTTGATAGGTTTTGGTGTACAGATCATTTACCTCCTTTGTTAAACTTATTCCACAGTAGTTTGCTTTTGGTTGCTATTGTAAATGAGATTATTTTCTTAATTTTGTTTTTTTGGATAGTTTGTTGTTAATGTAGAGAAATGCAATGATCTTTACATGTTGATATTTTTCCTGAAACTTCACTTAATTGGTTTATTAGTTCTAACAGTTTTTTGAAGAAGTCCTTAGCATATTTTATACATAAGATCATGTCATCTGCAAACAGCAACAATTTTACTTCTTCTGTTCTATTTGGATGTCTTTTATTTATCTTTCTTGCTTAATTGCTCTGTTCAATATTTCCTGTATTATATTGAAGAGAAGTGATGGGATTGGGCATCCTTGTCATATTTCTGATCTTACAGGAAAAACTTGTTGCTTTTCACCATTAAGTATGATGTTAGTTATGGGCTTTCATATATATCCTACATTATGTTGAAGTATATTCCTTCTATAACTAATTTGTTGAAAGGAAGTTGAATTTTGTCAAAAATTTTTGCATCTATTGAGATGATTATATGATTTTCATCCTTAATTATTTTCATGTAGTATATCACATTTATTGATTTACATATGTTGAGCCATTTTTGCATCTTTGGAACAAATCCCACTTGATCATGGAATATGATTCTTTATGCTGTTGAATTCAGTTTACTAGCATTTTGTTGACCATTTTTGCATCTTTGTTTATCTAGAATATTGGCCTGTAGTTTTATTTCCTTTTCCTATTCTTGTCTGGCTCTGTTATCAGAGTAATGCTGGCCTTAAAAACTAAATTTGGAAGTGTTCCTTCCTTTTCAATTTTTTTGGAAGAGTTTGAGAAGGTTCAGCATTAAATTTTTTTTATTAAATATTTGTTAGAATTCACCAGAGAAGTCAGTAATTCCTGGGTTTTCTTTCTTGTTGGTTGGAGGTTTTTGGTTATTGGTTTAATCTCCTAACCCATTATTGTTCTGTTTTAATACATATATTTTTGACTCAATCTCTGAGACACTGAAAGTGCCCTGTAAACTTTACAAAATATGAGATTTGTTTGAAATTTGACCATATCAAGAGTATTAATCTTAAAATGAACCTTTATCTTAGGATTAATACTCTGACCATAATGAGTATTAAGATTAAGAGTACCTGAGCATGTTAAGAGTATTCTTTTTTATTTCTATTTTTTTTTTTAGATGAAGTCTCGCTCTGTCATAAGGCTGGAGTGCAGTAGCATGATCTTGGTTCACTGCAACCTCCGCCTCCTGGGTCCAAGCAATTCTCCTGCCTCAGCCTCCCAAGTAGCTGGGACTACAGGTGTGTGCCACCACAGCCAGCTAATTTTTGTATTTTTAGTACAGATGGGGTTTCACCATATTGGCCAGGATGGTCTCAATCTCCTGACCTCGTGATTCACCCACCTTGGCCTCCCAAAGTGCTGGGATTACAGCCGTGAGCCACTACGCCTGGCCAAGAGTATTATTTAAAGCTTAAAGAAAATGGTTCTCAAAACTGCTTGCACTTTTAGAATCCCTATGGAAACTTAAAAGAAACGATGCCCAGAGTCATACCCAGAGAAAATGATTCAATATGTATTCAATAGTACCTGAATATTGGCACTTTGCAAAACTTTCCCCTGCATTTTGTTTTGTTTTGTTTTTTGCAACAAAGGATTGGCACCACTACCTTAGAGGATCCAGGTTTTTGGATTCATTTTTGTATTAACTTACAACACATCTGTTTAATCTAAAAGAAACCCTGATAACAACATGACCCAATGGGCAGATGGCTGGATACTTGTCTGGATATCTTCAATTTTTGTATGTCATGTGGATGCAGCCTTATTTTATCAGCCAACAAGGAGGATTAGTTGGAAAAAATACAAACACATTTATCTCTATCAGAGTAGGAGGAATTACACAATTGGTAGAGTTTATCTTTGACTCTCTAAAGAATAGGTCACACAGTTTTAAGCCAGCCTTGCAGCAGAGATGGAAACATCAGACAAACTGCTTATCTGACATATCCATAATAATTTACCATACCATGCGTTTCCCTACTCTGTTGTTCATTTGCACTGTCAAGCACGATAAGTGAACAAAGATAGACACACTGTTAGCATTTAAATATTACAATGCTTCCCTGTCTTATCATCTATTTTCTTTCCATCCATCTCTTTTCCTTTTTTTCTCCATTTAGCCTCTTTTTACAGCTTCCCTCCTCCATCTTAAGAAGCTTTTAAGAAAATGAGGGTTATTTTTTATTATAAGCAAGTGACACTGTGATGAATTCTTCCATATGATGTATGTAGTGCAGATTGCCTTACTTAAATGATTAATTAAAATTGATCATAAAATAATGCTAACTTACTGAGCCCTCTCCATTACTTTTGAATCCTTTGTTTTTAGAGAAAATCATGAGATGTGCTGCAGCAATAGTGTTAGTCTGTGAGCAAGGAATTCTTTGAGCTGTGGAAGGCTAGAAGCTTCTCTAGCATTTGATGCTTTCAAAGGAGGCAGCAGAATGTCCTTTGGGGACACCCTGCCAGAGTTTATAGATTTGTTTTCTTTTCTATTGGGAAATGTGGCAATTGCATCCTAGGGACTTGGGTAGACATAAAAATGTAGCATTCTAATTATGTCTATATGGATGAAAGATTTATTTTTAGCTCTTTGAACATTTAAATGTGTACTTCTAGTGTTATCTAACAAATTATAAGACACTTTATAAAATGGTATTGTCTTATAATAGATCCTAAGAGACAAGAGAAAAATTGCTGAGGGCAGGATTTCAGGCACTGCAGCCCTTATCTTTACCTGTCATCAAAACCCTCTGTTCTAACCAATTGACTGGAATCCAGCCTATAATGTTATTCGGGAATAAAGACCACACAGTGATTGCTGTAAAAAAAAAAAAAAAGG
The DNA here is from genome assembly GCF_000001405.40 of Homo sapiens. Lineage (NCBI taxonomy): Eukaryota > Metazoa > Chordata > Mammalia > Primates > Hominidae > Homo > Homo sapiens. The sequence goes on from NC_000007.14 coordinate 113,403,115, forward strand.
TAAATATAAACAAATGTAAATTATTGAGAGTAATAATTAAATGTGGCTGAATTTTCCACATCTTCATGTCAGATATTTTAAACATAAATATAGAAGGGGAGAGGGCGGCCCTGGTATTTTTACTTTGTACAGAAGAGAGAAGTGTAGCATCTGTATGACCTTCCGGCTGTGTCTCCTCAATCAGACAAAAAGTGCTAGTAAATTCAGGGTAGTTTGAGGAGTCAGTTTTACTGATTATTAGGTAATTCAATCAAAATGAATGATCTCAATATTTCATTTAGATATACCCTGGAAATCTGACACAGAGACAGAGTAATCAAAAGCTCCTCTGTTTTGGCTACATCAACATCATAATCATAATCAGACATTAATTGATATTTGGACAAGGTGGTAATCACTGGTGCTGTGAAGAGTAATGAAGAGGTATTAGACACATCAGAATAATAATGTGAAAAGAAGGCTGAAATGTTATTCTCCAACAAAGAAGAAACAAATATTCAAAATTGTAAGAAGAAAAATGCTGCAAAGTTACAAGATTCTATGCAGTGTTACTTGGTTTGCAGATGAAGTCAGGACTTACTTGAATCAGAATTACTAAACCCCTAAATAGACCTATTCCTGCTTGCCATGCCCAAATCCCCTCTTGGTTCAAATTTTACAAAAAAGAAGGCATACTACACATTTTTAAGTACACGAGATCATGAGAAAGTATTTAATTTTCACATACTTGTGATTTGGAGAAAGAACTTAACTTTTTTATGAAGCGTGAGAGGAAATTGAGGATGAGCATTTGGATTACTTTCTGACTTGAACACCTGGGAAAGTATATGTATTTTCAAGTATAAGTGAATAGCCCTGGAAACAGAAGCACAACTCTAGGAACAATAACTAGTATTTATTGAGTGCTTACTATGTGCAAGGTGTTGTTCTAAGCCCTTTGCATTAATTAACTCATCTAATCCTCATTACAATCCTATTTGGTAGGTAGTATTATTAACACCATTTTACAGAATAATTAAGATGCACAGGTTAAATAAACAGAGCAAGGTCACAGAGCTGGTAAATGGCACAGTTTGTATTTGAACCAAAAAATTCTGGGTCCAGAGTCTACAAAAAAACTAACACACTAGAGTGCCTTGACGCATTAAGGCGATTTTTAAAAAAATCTTTCTTGTCTCTGGCCAGGATGCTACCACAGCCTTATATAAAGATAGTTACTTTTTATTACGCACATTTCAGATTATCAAAAGTTCAACGTGTATAGTGAAAAGCTGAGCCTAGGTCAAAAAATAATGAGATGATCATCAGCCACCAGAGGGCACATTTGTCTATGGTCTTGAAAGCCTCTGGAGGGAGGGGACGGGGTAAAGGAAGAGGGGAGCTAAGAGTACATGGCCTAGCTGAATTTTCCTGGGCATGAATACCAGCTTGGACCGCAGTGGAAGTGCCAACAAATTATAAGCTTCACAAATCAATGATACAAGTTTTCTGTGGGGGCGGGGCGGGGGGACATAATGTTTATCTATGAAGAAAGGCTTTATTTTTGGCTCATCTGAGGCAACAGGGTTATCAGGCTACACAGGGAATAGGTACAATTCAGGGAACAATATGGGACTGAATAAATAAACATGAGTTTTGCATCTCATATGTTTACTCACTCTATCACAAAGAAGATCCTATGATATGTTCTAAGGGCCCTGGGTAGGGGCTCTCAGGCTAAGGACCATGATGAAACAAACCTTTGCATTGTAATAGACAGTGATGTTGAAGGGTGAATTACTGGTCTGTGTAATTCCAATATAATTAGTCAGTGCTTTCAAAATGGTTGACTGAAGAAGTCACTGTACTTGAGGTCCAAATTAACATAATCTAAATCCTCTAGAGAGGAGATATTACAATTTCCTTTCTCCCATAAGTGTCAGAAGTCAGAAGACTATTGTTCTTTCTAGCGTTTAGCCAATGACCCTTTTTATAACAAATATTTTGTAGTTCTCCCTTTTTCATTCTAAGATGAAATTTTAGATACTATATCTTACTTGTAGTATAAAGATCAATGTAAGAGTGGTGATGGTATCACAGGTGTTTTTCATATATCCAAACCCATCAAATTGTACTCCTTAATACATGCAGCTCTTTGTGTGTCAATTATACCTCAATAAAGCTGTTAACAATCAATATATCTGATTTAATTATAAAAATCAATGAAATAAATTTAAATGAAGTAATACACATTTCAGTATGTAAATATTCAGTCAGGACCACACAAGAAAATAAAATGAAGTAGTAAGATGCTTGCACCTACACATAGAATTCCAGAAATGTGACTGTTCCAAATCCAGATTGATGTAGGTGTATTGAACTGGTTGTACAGGGTGACTCAACCCCCACCAAGTGACACTGCTGTCAGGGACATGATTTTACAAAATTGCAAACAAATCTTGGCTAAAATCCAACTAAAGCAAGGTAAAATCTTCCCACCATTTGGCAAAGACTGGCATTCCCAGAAAAATTATCTTAGGGAAAACTACGCTTATTGTAAAATGTGGTTAGATTCTAAGCTCAGATTATAAATATTTTTTCATCCACGTAAGAGACCAGCAGGACATTTAAAAGTCATTTGGGACAATTCTTGGTCGGTAGGCCTCCTCCACACACTGCAGAACATGTAGTCCTCCCTTGTGAAAAGCAAGTGGTGTCCTCTCTTATGATTACCAAAAATACCCCATGCCTTTCCCAAATCCCTCCTATAGGGGGGCATCACCACATGGAGAACCATTAGTCTGGCTCAAACTTGCTTCAGTCAAGTTTTATTTTTTTCTCTTCTCTTTAGTGGAAATAATATAGCTATTCACCTGCACTCATATAGTAATGACTGCAGACTCTACCTGCTGTACATGAAGGTTATCGTTAAGCTCCTCTTTAACCTTATGAAATGCCAGGGAGGACATTAAATACAAATCTCTCTTTAAAACCGAAGTTGCTTTAAGAATGATTCAGCCATGGCAATAATGAAGGTCAGTTCTTAGAATGTGTTCTTTAGCCAGTGTAAATTCCCAAAGGGAAAAAAGAAAAAAAAATAAGCAAGGGACCATCATGGTCATTTTGAAGGGTAAAGGAATCCAAACTAAGGATTTTATACAGAACACAAGGACAAATGCAAAGCAGTTTTCAGAGGGTCAGTGGCTCTTACAAAGATTATATGGTCAAGTCTGTTTAGCATGAATCTAGCAACAAAAATCAACGTTACATATGTTCTATCAGAATGACCCACACACAAATCTTTTAACTGCCAGACACATTGATAAATCAACCAAGCACTAATGTTATCTGACTCCTTCACAGATAAAGATGCCACATTTTTTGTGGCATCCATAGATTACTTTAGACAGAAATAAATTCCTAGAGCAAAAAAGGATAAGAAAAATAAGATAAAGTATGTGCTATTAAATACATTGAGATTTATTTTCTTCTGTATTATTTGAAAAAGTGCAAACTTGGCGACCTTGTGTTTTGTCAAAGCAGTACTAAACCTTACTTTATTTGTGAAAACAAAATAAAGAATATGTATGGGATATCAGGACACTCATATACTGCAACAACTACATTTATAGAATATTAAATGGAGTATGCCCAAGTGAACAAAAAACTTTATTAGATACAAACAGTACAAATATTCATGCTTTTTAACTCCTTGGCAAGCACTGATATTATTAAAGAATCTCGGATCATAGGTAGATTTTTGAAAGGTTTAAGATACAGACCCCTCAATATGTCATTTATATAGATATGTAGTGACCATGTATGGTTAGTCTACTTAATATGATATGTCCCCAAACTCATTAAATTAGTAGTATGCTTAGATACATCACATTTGTAAGAATTCAAATAAGTGAGCTGCTTGCACAAGGTAAATATACTTAATACTACTGAACTGTTTAAAAAAACACTGAGCAATTAAGTTTTTCTTTTTTAATTAATGTCTGCAGTCAAAACCCTGCACCTTTGAATAAGTGTTAGCCCTGTATGGCACATTATGAACACTGCAGTACAATATCCATTGGAAAGTAAGTGCCATGAGTTCAGGGACATGATCTCTTTTGTTCACATCTATATCCGTAGTGTCTAGAAAATGTCTCTTATAGCAGAAGTTCACAATACTTATTAAATAAATGAATTACTAAATTTCAGTTGCTCCCATGAGCTCCAATATCTTTAAATTCATAATATGATCACTAATAAAATATACTTATTGTTGAGATGAAGTGAGATATGCAGAAATACTTTATAGACTGTATCCATTATGAATTATTATTGTTGTGATATGCTGTTATTTTGATATGTCATTTACCCTTTAAAATAAATTCCTATGTATTTGTCAATAGATGAACAAAAGCCTAGAGTACAAAAAAACACATTCTCTGAAACACTCTCTGTTAGAAATTTTATGATGTCCGGTGTTCCAGATTTCACTGGCCACTTCCTGTCAGTCTCCTTTGCTAGTTTTAACTTTTTCTGAAGAGCTTGGTCTTACACACTCTTTTATATCTTTGCATTCTTTCTTTTGGTGATAATGCTTATTACCATCACTTCACGTAACACTTACATGCTGAGGACCCCTCAGTGATGCCTATTTTACATGTCTCTTCTTATCCATATTTAACTGCTCACCTGACATTTCAAATAAGCTGTCTCCCAGGCATTTCAAACTCCACATTACTGCAACTGAATTTCAGATCTCCACCTCACTCCACCCCATCTCAGTTCAAATTTGTTGTTTCTAAACTTCCCCATCCCAGTAAAGGTTAACAGTGTCCACTCAACTGCTAAGCCAGGAACGTGGAAGTCATCATTAGTTTAATTTTTCTAATCCTTCTCCCTTCCTACAGCTAATTCATCAACATATTATTTGTGTCTACCCTTTGAAATATACCTCAAATCTCTACTTCTGTCTTCCCTGCCAGCGCTCTGGTACCGTCCCTTCTTGCTCAGAGAATAGCACTAGTATCCAACCGAACTTCCTTCTTTAACAATCTATTTAGTTGCCAAAAGGAACATATTAAACTTTAAATCATTTCAGTACCCTTTTGTGCCCTCCCACTGCACTTAGGATATAATCCAAACTTAACATTCCTTATGAAGTTCTGATGATTTCACCATGGTCTATTTTTTATAATCCTATTTCATGTCTCTCTTCTCTTCCCTTCTCTGTTCCAGCTACTGTGGCTTACCCTGTGACCTTTAATCAAACAGATCTCCTTTTTGTTTGTTTCAGGACCATTCTATATGCTTTCTTGGCCCTTAACATCATATCAAATGGCTGGATCCTTCTCATCTCTAAGATCTCAGCCGTGCTTCTCCCAAGAAAAGCTCCTTTTATCTCTTTATCTAAATCAGCCCCTCTCCATGTTGTTCTTCATCACCATGCACTATGTTTTCTCCATGAGAACAACTATGATTTAGAATGATTTATTTGTTTACTCACACAGTGTCTGCCCCCTAACTGTAATTTCAGTGCCTTGAGGGTGGAAAGATGTCTATTTTTCACTATTGCATGCCTGGTGCCTAGAAGTAAACCTGGAATCTCGGAACTGAGTTTCTTAGGAATATTTCTCATACAGCATTCTTCCTTTCCTTCAGAGCACTTATCTCAATTTGTGGTTATTCAATCCTTAGTGTGATCATTTGAATAATGACTGTCTGTCTCCTTTACAAACCTAAAATCTCCATAAGAACAGGAACCATGTTTGATTTTGGCCACTAAAGCCTAGCACAGGGTCTGACATAATAAATATGCAATGCATACTTGTTGGATTTTATTGACCAAAAAGTAGCTTTGGCTTATTGTGATGATTGATTTTGGGTATCAATTTGACTGAATTAGGGGATATCCAGATAGCTGGTAATACATTATTTATTCTCAATAATTGCATTAATTATTCTCAATGTTTTAGTAGGCTCTGAGCCCATCCTTCTTTTGCTAAAAACGAAGCCCAAGTGGTTTGGCATTTGATTAGAATGAGTGGGCTGCCTCAGATGTGTCTGTGAGGGTGTTTCTGGAGGAGATTTGCATGTGAGTCAGTGGACTGAGTGGGGGAAGATCTGCCCTCAATGTGGGCAGGTACCTTCCAATTGGCTGGGGATGCAGATTGAATAAAAAGGTAGAGGAAGGGCAAATTCTTGCTGTCTCTCTTTCAGAGCTGGGATGCCCTTCTTCCCCTGCCCTTGGACATCAGAACTCCAGGTTCTTCAGTTTTTGGACTCCAGGACTTGCATCAGCAGTTTCTTTACCCCCTGCTACCTCTCACCCTTTGCTTCCCGCTCTTAGGCCTTTGGACTTGGACTGAGCCCCCTACCAACTTCATTGGTTCTCCAGCTTATAGTCAGACTATTATGAGACTTCTCAGCCTCTATAATCCAGTGAACCAATTCTCCTGATAAATTCCTTCACATTTGTCTCTATATGCTATCAGTCCTGTCTCTCTGGAGTACCCTGACCAATATATTTATATAAAACGAAATTCTTATCAGATCAACAATCTTAGATTAAATGCAATGATTTTAACCTGACCTGATCATTTTACATGTGTAATTGTACTTGTATTTTTCTATTTACCTCAAAAGTGTGGTATTTCATCTGGTCCTCATTACCTTTAATCTCAAAATAATACTTTTTAAAAATTTTACTTATAAAATCCCTAAATATAAGAAAGTTTTCAGAAAAATATCCTGACAACTGCTCTATTTTCATAAAACCATAGCAAGAAACCTCTGCTGAACAATTAACATTACTCAAGCCTAGAGAGTTGTATGACTGATAATTACGGTTACTTGTCCTGCTTATACAGAAAATATCAACTAAAGTATTATGGTTAGTCTCTATGAGTTTCATTTTGAAGTATAGAGCATTTTTGAAGAGCTGTCTCCTTTCATGAAAATAAAAGGAAGTTGGGTATTTTATTTATCCTTCAATTCTGGTACCTTATTAGGGAGGTGGTATCAGTACCAAATACTGTGGACTATGCTTTAGAATGTGATAATTATTAAAAATTGAATTTTTCAATGTTATGATCAAGTAGTTCAGGGGAGGATTGAAAACCATATGTTGACCTAAGGTCCCATGGAAAATGCCACTTCTCGTATTCCAAGGGACTTAGAGTTTGAAGTTGCAATCCAACATCAGCTACACACTTCACTTTATTTTACAGAGATAAAACATCAGAGCTTCTTTTGCCATACATATCTACTGACTTCTGTATATTATCATTATTTTAAGTCCATACTTGTGAATGACTGTGCCATAGGTAAGATTATGTTTTAACATTTTTGTAGCACTTCTGGTCATAGAACTCTGCTAAAATGTGAACTGTGAAAGGATTCTTGAAAAATTGGTGACATTTGCATAGGGAACAGAAAGGAACAAAAGGCCCTTGGAGGTGGCAATGAGCATAATATATTTCAGGTTAGTAAGAAGAATGACCCACATTGTTCAGAAGAAATTTGTGGGGAGGAAGGAGAAATTGGCTGGTTATGTAGAGAAATTAGCAAAGACTTTGAAAGCCCTCAGAATTGTTCAAACTTGACCCAGTGGGAGATAGGGTGCCACTGAGGATGACTGAGCAGGTAAGAAAGTGCTCTGAAGTCATCCAGGGCCTTCTTATATAATTCATGTTACAAGATTTTGCTTTGAAAAAAGGCAGAGTTATGAATCTGATAAACACCATTGGGAAAGCAATGCTTATTAAAAGAGATATTTGTATTCAAAGTTAGCACATAATAGACATTACATATGAGCTTCCAACCCTCCTCACTAAGGCTTTGAGACTTTGTGTTAGTCAGATTTGTTCTCGCACATGGTCATTTTTTCAAAAGTGGAACAGCTCTAACATAATACTTGGCATTTTTCCATCTCACAAAAGCTCTTGGTAAGACAGAATATCCAGACATGAATGTCATTATCAAATTCCTGGAGGCAATATTGCTAAGAAAGATGTACTTTGTACAACTTTTAACTTTAAACCAACAAATGACTGACAATTCTGTATCCAACACATTTTAATAAAAAAGTTGAATACTTGATGAAATACATGCATAATTCACAGTTAGATATCCAACTGTGGTTAAAGTGTTTTGGGGAATCATTAAGGCAAATCCAATTTTCAATTGTAAATGACCACCTACCAAAGCCTCTGTCCCAAATCTAGCATGTAGAATCTTCACCCTCGACAGAAGTGAAGAAACAATCCTGAAAAAATAGTGTGATGTGAAAATCTCAGACATTTTTGGGAACTGATATCCATCCAGACTGAAGCTTTAAAGCTCTTCAACTGTATTCCCAGCTTGCCTAGAAATGAGAGTGCAGCCTTGGACTCACTGGTGTTTCCTAGGCAGATAGTAACCTGACTGAGACTTATAGGTCCAGGAGTGGACAGGCAAAGGCTCTTTAAGGACTAACATGATTGCCACGGGGGTGGGGGTGGGGGTGGGGGGGTCAGTAAACAAAGGTAAGAAATCTCAACTTAGAATCCCACCCAACTGTTCTCTTCTCTGTCCATCTCAACTACTTAAAGTTATTGTTAATTTTTTTTCCTATAATATCCAAAGAATAAGAAGTCCTCCTGCGCTCAGGATTATCTACTCACTATAGACATTCACACACAGTTTGGGGGAAGATGGCTTGTTAAGATAGCTTTTCTAGGGAAGTGAGAGTCAGAGGAATCTGTAGTTTTTAAGCCCACTTTTCAGCGTCCCCTCCCCTCATGAGACTCAGCAACAAGGCCTGGTTCTAATATTGCCAACATTTGTGGGTCCTAACTTCTCTCTCTGAAGTCCTGAGGGTGTCTGACTTCTGCTTCCCTGCTTTCAGATTGGTTGCACTTGCTGAGGATCATAGTCCTTAGACTATAGGATGACTTAGACTATGGGATGGCACCTTTTTGGATACCAGCTTAATCCTCCAATTCTAGAAATGCTACTTTTCCAATTTTCCAACAATGAGACTGATAAAGTTAGCCACTGCTATGTGTCAAATGGCTTAGTGGCATCACCATTAAAATAAAGCTGCACCATAAACTATGCTAATGCTTTGGCTCATACCCAGTGGCATATGTCTACTCTCAAATTACCTATCTAATCCACAAACACTAATTGACCATCTACTATATGCCATTAAGGCAGGTAAATTCATGTTACACCATAGGCCTAGTGCTTAGGGCTTGAACTCTTCAAAGGCCATTGACAATTTAAGAACTGAAAGAAAATACCATCGGTTCCAAATTATGAAAAGAAAATAAGCCTAAAAGGTAAAAGTAATCAGTGTCTAAGTGTCTACAACTTTTAATGTTGTTTCAACTTCATGAATTGTTAAATTTCATGTCCATTACCATTTTATGACCAATGAAAAAATGTAATTTGGATTATTTTCCTTTGCAAGAATTTCTAAGAGTGCATTATGAAGCTAAGACTATGGAGAAGTCAGAACCAATAATAAAATATTTGGCTCATGGCCAAGTTTCAAAAACCAAAATTACAAATATCTTTAAAATGTTATGGTAAAAATAATCTTTTAATGAGCCATAATCTGGCTACTAAAATTTAATATGCTTCAAATGATATGGAGTGGGACCGCTACAAAATATCTAAGCCCTGCAATGCCCCTAAGGCAGTTCTGTGTGCCATGCTTAGTGCTACAGAACACAAAAGAGAAAAAAACTGTGCCTGCTTTTGAGGAACTTATAGTCAAATGAGAGTCACGAGTACAGAAGCAAACACGTAAGATATAATGGGGCAAGTCTGAAGATGCATAATCTGTCCACCCAAAAATAAATACTGTTAAACCATAATTTTGTAAGAGGTATGACTTACTTAGTTTGCCCATTGTTTTAGTCAGAGAAACAAAGTCAGTATTGTATACACATATGCACACACACACACACACACACACACACACACACATACGAGAGAGAGAGAGAGAGAGAGAGAGAGAGAGGAAAGAGATTTATCATGAGGAACTGTCTCATACAATTCTGGAGGCTGAGAAGTCTCACACTCTGCTGTCAGCAAGCTGCAGACTCACCAAACCTGGTGGTGTCATTCAGTCTGACTAAGAAGGCCTGAGAACCTGAGGTGCTGATGTCCAAGGGCAGGAGGAGAAGACATGAGATGAGATGAGATGTCTTATCTCACGCAGTGATGTAGAAGAAAAAAACCCAAATTCCTCTTTCCTCCACCTTTTGTTCTATTCAGACCCTCAAAGGATTCGGTGATGCTCACCACAGTGAGGAGAGCAATCTCCTTTACCGAGTCCATTGATTCAAATGCCAATCTCATTTGGAAATATCCTCACAGACATATCCCAAAGCCATGTTTAATCTGGGTATTCTGTGGTCCAGTTAAATGGACACAGAAAACTATCCATCACACCCATGCTGATCTCCAGGATTTCTGGAGTCTCTTTGAGGTTATCTCTTACATGATTACTTTCCATGGAATCTCCTAAAGACCAAAAGAGGATTTATTGAGAATGGTGGATTCATAGTTCAACGTGAAATAATGCATACCTTAACTTGAACATAAAACCATATTACCTAAAAAAGTAGATTCTGATATACATTTCCTTTCTCCCTAAGGAACTAATTTTGACTAAGTTTTTTTTTTTTTTTTTTTGCTAACAGAGCTTAGGAGATAGACACACCTTACCTGTATGCATACTGGGGTCCTCTTTTCTCAAGTTTTATTCATTTTTTTATGTCCTATATCATTCTTGCCCCACAATGTTCTGTCAGGAAAATTTCCCTTCTTTATGTCAGGGTCCCTATTTCTATCTAAATATTATTCTAATTCCCTGTCATATTACCCAAGGTTTCCTTCAGTAATAATAAAGTCACAAACCATCTCTTAGTGAACCCTTACCATATGTGGGCCCTGTGCCACACACATCTATTTCATGCAGTTCTGATATCTTCTCAAGGTGATTATTAATATTTCCGTTTTACAGATAAAACAAAAATAGTCTCAAAAAATTGCTAATGGCCACATAGTATATCTTGACCAAGATTCAGACCAAGGATTTTCTGGTGTTATATCCCACCATATTTTTCCTAAAAGATACCCCTTCCTAAATATGTATCACTTACTTCTTATGAAATTGGCCTTCAGTATATTCTATAGGGCGCTGGTGCCATGCAGGACTCTCCAATCATTCATGCTCTACTCAGTGTGTCTGTCTGCTGCATTTTGGCTATGATCAGGGTTCTTTCTGTTTGTGAATTTCTCTGTTAAGCTTTTAACATAGAGAGAGTTAAATAGATCTCCTCTTGGCAAGAATAGTCATTTACTTGCTGGAGTCTCAGCTGGAGACAAATTTTCTCTGACTACACAGTATAAGGGCACTTTCTGTTTAATGCCATAACAGCAGCTCATAAGTCCTATTGTCCCATTATTTCCTTTTCAATACTAAATATATTACTGTTTAATGGAAACGAGCCAATAATACTATGAGCACAAAAGGAAGGGGCAGCAATCCATGTGGTTTCTTTGTTGTGGGGTCCTTACTACCATTTACAGATTATTCTAATTGCTTGCTAATATAATTGCTCAGAGTTTGCTTTCATTTAACAAGTCTTTATCAATTGATTTCTACAGCAGTCTGTTCCCTTTAATGTGCTCTGTAAAATGCCTGCTGCTATTTACTTAGTATTAAGGAGGGAATAGCTTGTTTCTAATCTTCATGCTCTGTCCTATGTCTGTTTTTCCTCTTTCTGTGTAAACAGCAATCTGTTTGCTGTTTACTGCAGCAGTGAAAAGTTATAATTTGTTCCCTTTAGTGGGAAGAGACACTTGCTGATTGGGATCATGATTAAATATAAATCTCTTATATGACAGAAATGTATACAATGTGTTTAGTGATTAAACATTTCTCAGAGGGTGGTCTGGTTTTTCCATCTTGTATTTAAAATCACATGCATTATACAAAGTTGAATATTAAGAAAGAAATTAGTAAATTACTTCTTAACTAATAGGTCAGAAAAGGAAAAGCAATTGGCTAATTTCAATAAAATGAGAAAAAATCTGGAAAAAGTATATACTCTTATTTAAAAAAGTTTTTTTAGAACTCACATGAAATTTAACATGTTGTTTCTATAACAATATTCATCTCAAATCAATAGCTGACTTAATTCTTAAGAGTATCCAATTAAAATCAGATGGAAAACAAAATACTTGTTATTATCACTGCTATCTAATTGTCCTAAGAACACTAATCCTTAAAGCCATAAGATACAAAACCAAAAGAAGAGGTATAATTTTTAGAAAGGAAAATACAAGATTATTATTATTTTCAGATGGTATAATTACTTACAAATATATACAGAAAAAAATGACCAAAAACTGTAAGAATAAGAAACTAAAATAAGATGTACCAATGCCAGATGAATACACAGTTGCCCTTCTGTCCCATCCTATAAGTTATCTACCCAGACAAGCCTTTTTACTGTTACTGTTACATCTTTATGAAAATTGAGCTCTCAGGGGTCTCCTCACCCACCAGTGGTGCTCCTGCTAGTGGTGAACATGTGAAAATGGATCATGTCCTGAGTGTCACTCCACAGAGTGAGCTCATATTCTGAAGTCCCTTCATCAAAGTTGTCGTCCTCATCCTAAAACTTGGAATTTTGGCAGATTGAAGTGAAGATCCTGTTACCACGTTGATGTAGAATGGTGGGTTGATGCATCTGCAAAGTTACAGCCTTTCACTTTGT